>NC_000023.11:83371632-83674663 GCF_000001405.40 Homo sapiens
GCAGAAAAACAAAAGAGTGAACTTATTTATTCAAACCTTTTTGTAAGGGCCCGAATTCCATCCATGAGGGCTTTGCTTTCATAACTTAATTAAATTTTAAAGATTGCACCTCTTAATACTATCATATGGGCCATTAAGTTTCAACTCATGATTTTAGGGAGACACGTTCAGACCATAGCAGAGAGTATGGACATTTTAACAATATTGATTCTTACAATACATGAATACAGGACATCTTTCTATTTATTCATGATTGTTTCAATGTCATTCATCAATGTTTTATAATTTTCAGTGCACAGATTTTCTACTTCCTTGGTTAAATTTATTCCTCAGTATTTTATTCTTTTCAATGCTATTGTAAATGAGATTATTTTCTTGATTTCTTTTTTGGATAGGTCATTATTGATGTAAATAAATGCAAGTGATTTTTGTATGCTGATTTTCTATCCTGACACTTTACTGAATTCATTTACTAGTTCTAACTGTACTCAGTTTTGGAGTCTTAGGGTTTTCTACATATAGAATCTTATCATCTGCAAATATAGCTTTTACTCTTCCTTTCTGATTTCAAGGCCTTTTTTTTCCTTAATTGATTGCTCTTGCTAGAACTTCTAGTACTATTTTGAATAGAAGTGGCAAGAATGGGCATCCTTGCCTTGTACCAGATATTAGTTTTTCCCCATTGATTATGATGTTAACTCTGGGATTTTCACAAATGGCTTTTATTATGTTGAGACACTTCCTTTTCCTTGAGTATTTTTATCATAAAAGATTGTTGATTTTTTGTTAATTACTTTTTTGTACCTATTGAGATAATATTATGATCTATCTTTTTTATTACATTAATGAGATATATTTCACTCCCTCTTTTGCTTATATGCCCAAAGGAAATGAAATCACCACCTTAGAAATGTGTCTGCACTCTCATGTTCATTGCATCATTATTCACAACAGCCAAATTACGGAGACAATATGTGTCCACTGATGGGTGAACAGATTTAAAAAATCATGGTGTATATATAAAATGGAATATTATTCAGCCTTAAGGAGGAACAATATTCTGCTTTTGTGACAACATGGATGAACCTAGAGAAGATTGTGTTAAGTGAAGTAAACCAGATAAATAAAAATATTGCATAATCTCACCTATATGTAGAATCTACATCTATATATCTGTATTTTTATCTATATCTATACATATTTAATACATAAAAACAGAGAGTAGAATGTGGTTAACAGGGGCAGAGAGGGGTAGGTAACAGGGAAATGTAGGACTAAAGGTAAAAAGTTGTCTTATAGAATGAATAAGTCTAGAGATCTAATGTACAGCTTTAGAATTATAGTTAATATTATTGGATTATATACTAATTATATTGTATTATACACTAATTATACAATATAGTTACTGTATTATATACTAATTATTTAATATAATTATTGTATTATATACTATTATAAAGAGTAGATTGTAGGTATTCTTACCACAAAGAAAGAAAATTATGTGGGATGATGTATATGTTAATTTTCTGGACTGTAGTAAGCAGTTCACTATGTGTATATATCTATATCTATATATATCAAAACATTATGAAGTACCTCTTAAATATATACAGTAATTAAATAAAATAACAATTGTTGATGAGGATGTAGAGAAATTGGTACATTTTTGCTTTTGTTAGTGGAGATGTAGAATGGTGCAGTCACTTGATGGGTGCAGCAAACCACTATGGCACATGTATACCTGTGTAACAAACCTGCATGTTCTGCACATGTATCCCAGAACTTAAAGTATAATAATTAAAAAAAAATTATGGTGGTACCTAAAATAATTAAAGCAGAATTGTAGAATGACCATGTGATTCAGCAATTCAATTTCTTGATATATATTAAAAATAATTTAAATCACAGTCTGAAAGAGAAAACATTATGGTAAAATAAACGCAACATAAAATTTCTCATCTTAATCATTTTAAGTGTATATTTCAGTAATATTAAGTATATTCACAGTATTGTACAACCAATCTCAAGAACTTTTTTAATGTTGCAAAACTGAAACTTTTTACCATTTAAACAACAATGTTTCAAACCTCCCTCTCCAGCCCCTGGCATCACCATTCTACTTTCTGTCTCTGAGAATCTGACTACTTTAGGTAGCTCATAAAAAAGGAATTATATAGTCTATGTGTTTCTCCAGAATGTGAGAAATTGCATACTTTGACCAGCCTACTCTAGTGTGGGGATGTGAGGAATCGAATTTAAAAATAACAAAATGGAGATGTAGAAAAATATCAACACCCATTTGTTTAAAGCAAAAATTTTTGTGCAAGAAAAACAAGCAGTTGTCTTATTAATTTTTATTAAACATTATTAATAACACCTCTTACAACCAGTCCAAATCTCCCAAAAAGAGTGTATCCCAAAGTCATACCACCTAGCTGAAGTGAGTTCCAGAAAATTCAATAAAAAGTTTGGCAATTATGTATAAGCTTCTGACTTTGAATCTAAGTTTTGTTGTTATTTGATGGTTTTTGTTAGTTTGTTTGCATACTAACACATATCTCTAGAATTCCAGAGGTGAGAGGAATGCTGGAGATATGCAACACCATGAGAGAGTGATGAAAATACAAACTGAAGGTTTATGGATAGAACAGGAAATATGCTTATGGATTGGGGATGTAAAACTATAGGGTAGCAGCTAAAAGTATGATTGCACCTTTAATTTATTTGGGAGTGTCCAGTGAATGGTCATGAAATATGCTGAGGTCACTCTCCAAAAAAAAACAGCAATGGACAAGTTGGACGTGGAACACATTAAGACAAGAATGCAGGCTGGGCTTTGAATAAGACCAATAGTGGGTGAAGTAAATGGGGAGAGAATCAAATGAGGTGAAGGGCAAGGAACTAAAATTCTAAAAAAAAAAAAAAATGTACAGTCAAGAAACAGCCCATGGTCAGGATAGAAGATCAGACTAAAAGACAACCTGGATAGTAAAGATCAGATCTTAAATTTTACTCAGGAATTGAGTTAACTGTGCCACTAGAGCCAAGACCAAGTTGTGACACCTAACTAAGGGAAAGGCACTCTCCACAATGAGAAGAAACAAAGAATTTGTTAGGCAGCTTCCATGTGCCAGACAATGTACGGGGAGATTTACATGCATTATCTCATTTAACCCTAAGAAAATCCTACAAGATAAATATTATCATGAAAACATATTTTTCACAATTTCAAAATCGATGTTGTTACTTGTTTTCTGAGCTACCTCTCTAATTCCTTCAGATGAAAAAGGTATGATTGAAAGAAATAGATAAGGGGATGGATAACAGCATCCTCTCAGAAGCGTAAAAAATCCATTATAATTTGTCCAAAATCATTAACTCCTTGATGGTCTACAAGTTCTAAATTTGTATTTTATGCACTGGATTATGTCCCCTAAAATTTATTTGTATAGCTCTACCCCCCAGTACCTCAGAATGTGATTGTATTTGAATATACAGTCTTTTTTTTTTACATTGGTAGAAGATGATTATTTTTATCTCACTATTGCAGGCAAGATCAAGCCTTGCACTGGTTAAAAACACAAATTTCTGGGCTTAAAACCAGATGCATGGTTATCAGAATATCCAGAGAGCCTTGGAAAGCTGCATGTTTAACAAGCATCCCAGGTGATTCACATCAGCAGAGAAGTTAGGAGAAAATTCTGAGAGACAGCGTTTCTCAATGTGGATGCACAGTAGAATCCCCTAGGAAGAACCCATTCAATAAGATCTTAGTTTATTGGTCTGGGGCTAGTTCTTATTGTTTGTTTGATTGGTTTGTTGGTTGGTTGGTTGCTTTGTTGCTTGGTTAGTCTCTTAGTTGCTTTTTAAATTTTTTTCATAAGTTATTGGGGTACAGGTGGTATTTGGTTACATGAGTAAGTTCTTTAGTGGTTATTTGTGAGATTTTGGTGCACCCGTCACCCGAGCAGTATACACTGCACCCTATTTGTAGTCTTTTATCCCTCACTCCTCTCCCACCCTTCCCCCAAAGACCCCAAAGTCCATTGTATCATTCTTATGCCTTTGCGTCCTCATAGTTTATCTCCCTCATATTAGTGAGAACATACAACGTTTGGTTTTCCATTCCTGAGTTACTTCACTTAGAATAATAGTCTCCAGTCTCTTCCAGGTCACTGCAAATGCCATTAATTCATTCTTTCTTATGGCTGTGTAGTATATATGATGGAATACTAATCATCCATAAGAAGGAATGAATTATATATAAATCATTGTGATATATATATATATCAGTTTCTTTATCCACTTGTTTATTGATGGGCATTTGGGTTGGTTCCACAACTTTGCAATTGCTAATTGTGCTGCTGTAAACACGCCTGTGCAAGGATCTTTTTCATATAATGACGTATTTTCCTCTGGGAAGATTCCCAGGAGTGGTATTGCTGGATCAAATGGTAGTTCTACTTTTAGTTTTCTAAGGTATCTCCACAATGTTTTCCATAGTGATTGTACTAGTTTACATTTCCACCAGTAGTGTAGAAGTGTTCCCTGATCACCACATCCAAGCCAACATTTATTGTTTTTTGATTTTTTGATTATGGCCATTCTTGCAGGAGTAAGGGCATTTCCCTGATCATTAGTGATGTTGAGTATTTTTTCACATGTTTGTGGGCCAAGTTTATATCTTCTTTTGAGAATTGTCTTCATGTCCTTAGCCTACTTTTTGATGGGATTGTTTGTTTTTTTCTTACTGATTTGTGTGACTTAATTGTAGATTCTGGATATTGGTCCCTTGTCAGATGTATAGATTGTGAAGATTTTCTTCCACTCTGTGGGTTGTCTGTTAACTCTATTGACTGTTTCTTTTCCTGTGAAAAAGCTCTTTCATTTAATTACATCTCAATAATTTATATTTGTTTTTATTGCATTTGCTTCTGGGTTCTTGGTCATAAAATCCTTGCCTAAGCCAATGTCTACAAGGGTTTTTCCAATGTTATCTTCCAGAATTTTTATAATTTCAGATATTAGATTTAAGTCCTTAATCCATCTTGAGTTGATTTTTGTATAAGGTGAGAGATGAGGATCCAGTTTCATTCTCCTGTAGGTGGCTACCCAATTATCCCAGCACCATTTGTTGAAAAGGGTGTCCTCAGAGAAGGGAACATCACACACCCGGGCCTGTCAGGGGGTGGGTGCCTGGGGGAGGGATAGCATTAGGAGAAATACCTAATGTAAATGATGAGTTGAGGGGAGCAGCAAACCAACATGGCATATGTATACCTATGTAACAAAACTGCACGTTGTGCACATGTACCCCATAACTTAAAGTATAATAATAAAAAAAGAGAAAAGAGTGTCCTTTTCCCACATTATGTTTTGGTTTGCTTTGTGGAAGAACAGTTGGCTGTAAGTATTTGGGGTTATTTCTGGGTTCCCTATTCTGTTCCATTGGTCTATGTGCCTAATTTTATACGAGGAGTACCATGCTGTTTTTGTGACTACGGCTTACAGTATACTTTGAAATCAGGTAGTGTGATGCCTCCATATTGGTTATTTTTGCTTAGTCTTGCTTTCGCTATGAGGGCTCTTTTTTAGTTTTATATGAATTTTAGTATTGCTTTTTCCAATTCTGTGAAGAATGATGGTAATATTTTGATGGAGATTGCACTGAATTTGTAGATTGCTTTTGGCCGTATGGTCATTTTCACAATATTGATTCTACCCATCAATGAGCATGGGCTGTGTTTTCATTTGTTTGTGTCATCTATGATTTCTTTCAGCAGTGTTTTGTAGTTTTCCTTGTAGAGGTCTTTCACCTCCTTGGTTAGGTATATTTCTAAGTATTTTATTTTATTTTACTTGATTTTACTTACTGCATCTATTAAAAAATGAGTTGAGTTCTTGATTTGATTCTCTGGTTAGTCACTGTTGGTGTATAGAAGAGCTGTTGATTTGTGTACATTAATCTTGTATCTGGAAACTTTGCTGAATTATTTTATCAGTTCTAGGAGCTTTCTGGAGGAGTCTTTAGGGTTTTTGAGGTAAATAGTCATACCGTCAGCAGTGACAGTTTGACTTTCTCCTTATCGATTTGGATGACATTTATTTCTTTCTCTTGTCTGATTGTTCTGGCTAGGACTTCCCATATTACTTTGAAGAGGAGCAGTGAGAGTGGGCATCCTTGTCTTGTTCCAGTTCTCAAAAGAAATGCTTTCAACTTTTCCTCATTCATTAATATGTTGGCTGTGTGTTTGTCATAGATGGCTTTTATTACATTGAGGTATGTCCCTTATATGTTGATTTTGCTGAGAGTTTTAATCATAAATGGATGACGGATTTTGTCAAATACTTTTTCTGCATCTATTGAGATGACCATGTGATTTTTGTTTTTAATTCTGTTTGTGTGGTGTGTCACAATTATTGACTTGTGTATGTTAAACAATCCCTACATCCCTGGTATGAAACCCATTTGATAATGTTGGATTATCTTTTTGATATGTTGTTGGATTCGGTGAGCTAGTATTTTGTTAAGGATTTTAGCATCTATGTTCATCAAGGATATTGGTCTGTAGTTTTCTTATTTGTCTATATCTTTTCCTGGTTTTGGTATTAGGGTAATGCTGGCTTCATAGAATGAATTAGGGAGTGTTCTCTTTTTCTCTATCTTGTGGAACAGTGTCACAAGGATTGTTACCAATTCTTCTTTGAATGTCTATTAGAATTCTACTGTGAATCCTTCTGGTCTTTGACTTCTTTGTTGGTAATTCTTAAATTTCCATTTAAATCTCACTGCTTGTTATTGGTCTGTTCAGAGTATCTCTTTTTTCCTGATTTAAGCTAGGAGGGTGTTATTTTTTCCAGGAATTTATTCATCTCTTCTAGGTTTTTTTTAGTTTATGCAAATAAAGGTGTTTATAGTAGCCTTGAATTATCTTTTGCATTTCAGTGGTGTCAGTTGTGATATCTCCCATTTTGTTTCTTAATGAGGTTATTTGGATTTTCTCTCTTCTTTTCTTGGTTAATCTTGCTAATCATCTGTCAATCTTCTTTTTAAAAAATGAGCTTTTTGTTTCATTTATCCTTTGCTTTTTTGTTATTGTTTAAATTTTATCTAGTTCTGCTCTGATCTTGGTTATTTCCTTTCTTCTGCTGGTCTTGGGTTTAATTTGTTCTTATTTCCCTAGTTCCTTTAGGTGTGACCTTAGAATATCAGTTGGTGCTCTTTCAGTTTTTTTGATGTGGGTGTTTAGGGCTATGAACTTTCCTCTGAGTATCGCCCTTGTTGTATCCCAGAGGTTTTGATAGATTGTGTCATTATTGTCCTTCAGTTCGAAGAATTTTTAAATTTTCATCTTGATATCATTTTCGACCCAATGCTCATTCAGTAGCAGCTTATTTAATTTCTGTACATTTGCATGGTTTTGAAGGTTCCAGTTTTATTCCACTGTGGTCTGAGACAGTGCTCCATATTATTTCAGTTTTCTTAAATTTATTGAGGCTCATTTTATGGCCTATCATATGGTCTATCTTGGAGAAAGTTTCATGCACTGTTGAATAGAATGTGTATTCTGCAGTTGTTGGATGGAATGTTCCTTATATATATGTTAAGTCCATTTGTTCCGAAGTATAGTTTAAAACCATTAGTTGTTTGATGACTTTCTGTCTTGAATCCTGTCTAGTGCTGTCAGTGGAGTATTGAAGTCCCGCACTATTATTGTGTTGCTGTCTATCTCATTTCTTAGTTCTAGTAGTAATAGTTTTATAAATCTGGGAGCACCAGTGTTGGGGGCATATATGTTTAGGATTATGATAGTTTCCTGCTGGACAAGGTCTTTTACCACTACATAATGTTTCTCTTCATCTCTTTTAACTGCTGTTGTTTTAAAGTTTGTTTTGTCTGATATAAGAATACCTACCCTTACTCAGTTTTGGTGTCCATTTGCATGAAATGCCTTTTTCCACCCCTTTACTTTAAGTTTATGTGAGTCTTTACCTTTTATGTGAGTCTCCTCAAAGCAGCAGATAGTGGATTGGTCAGTTCTTATTCATTCTGCAGTTCTGTAGAAGATAAAGTCTTTAAAGAAGTGATTAAGTTACATAGGTTATTAAGGTGGACCCTAATCCAAAGTAACTGATGTCCTTGTAGAAGAGGAAATTAGGACACTGACAGGTACAGAAGAAAGACCATGTAATCACACAGAAAGAAGACAGTCATCTACAAACGAAGGAGATAGGCCTCAAAATAAACCAATTCTGCTGATACCCAGATATTAGACTGCCAGCTTCCACAACACCATGAGCCAATTCATTAAAATAAATTTATGTTTTTTAGGCCACCCCATCTGTGATACTTTGTTAAAGCCACTCTAGCGATCTAACAAACAGAAGCTATTTAAGGTCATGGCTATTCTTGCAATAAGGGAGCTGATAAGACATATTTTTAAATGTCTCAAAGATTTTTATTTTTTAAGTCCTCACAAAACATGTTGTTTTGTTTGTATTGAGGTGAGATTGGTAGGCAAGGAAGTGACCATGTTGTCAGGACGCAGCAACCTGTGTGACCCACTGTCAACACAAGAAGCCTCAGCTTTGGCATTGCAGTCAAGCTCATTCAAGAAAAGCTGTCTCTAGTAGGGAAGTTCTCCTGTGGAGAGCAGGCACATTTTGATTTTACCTGTCCTCAGACTGACGCTTTGCTCTTACAATAGTAAAAATTACATCCCTGGATAGAGATCTAAGATGCTAATGAGACATGTGTTGTATAAACAAGCATGACAGCTACTGTGTATGTGCAGCCAAAGGTCGCCCATAATATGCTTACTATAAATACCCTTTTCTACCCCTTTTGAAAAATCATGTTAGACTTCCATAAAGGGAATGTCCCTAGTGCCAGTCTTTCTTAGCTCATCCTCATGAGCAGCCCACTCTGAATCATCTCTCAGTTTTTCTGACTATTCTGCGACTAAATTTCAGAATATTCTTTCTCTTTTGCAATAAATTTTTCTATACTGCATCTCCTTTGCTGTATGTATCTTGCTTAAATTCTTTTAAACTAAGAAGACCAGAACAAAGGTTTCACAACAACCATCAACATTTCTGATGCTGCCATCAAAAAGCTTATCCACCAAGATCAAGTTGGCTTCATCTCTGGGATGCAAGGCTCGTTCAACATATGCAAATCAATAAACATAACCCATCACATAAACAGAACCAGAGACAAAAACCACATGATTATCTCAATAGATGCAGAAAAGGCCTTTGACAAAATTCAACAACCCTTCATGCTAAAAACTCTCAATAAACTAGGTATTGATGAAATGTATCTCAAAATAATAAGATCTATTTATGACAAACCCACAGCCAATATCATACTGAACAGGCAAAAACTTGAAGCATTCCCTTTAAAAACCAGCACAAGACAAGCATGCCCTCTCTCACCACTCCTATTCAACATAGTGTTGGAAGTTCTGGCCAGGGAAATCAAGCAAGAGAAAGAAATGAAGGGTATTCAATTAGGAAAAGAGGAAGTCAAATTGTCCCTGTTTGTGGATTACATGATTGTATATTTAGAAAACCCCATCATCTCAGCCCAAAATCTCCTTAAGCTGATAAGCAACTTCAGCAAAGTCTCAGGATACAAAATCAATGTGCAAAAATCACAAGCATTCCTATACACCAATAACAGACAAACAGAGAGCCAAATCATGAGTGAACTCCCATTCACAACTGCTACAAAGAGAATAAAACACCTAGGTATCCAACTTACAAGGGATGCAAAGGACCTGTTCAAGGAGAACTACAAACCACTGCTCAACAAAATAAAAGAAGACACAAACAAATGGAAGAACATTCCATACTCATGGATACGAATAATCAATATTGTGAAAATGGCCATACTGCCCAAGGTAATTTATAGATTCAATGATATACCCATCAAGCTACCAATGACTTTCTTCACAGAATTGGAAAAAACTACTTTATAGTTCATATGGAACCAAAAAAGAGCCTGCATTGCCAAGACAATCCTAAGCCAAAAGAACAAAGCTGGAGGCATCATGCAACCTGACTTCAAACTATGCTACAAGGCTACAGTAACCAAAACAGCATGGTACTACTACCAAAACAGAGATATAGACCAATGGAACAGAACAGAGGCCTCAGAAATAACACCACATATCTACAACCATCTGATCGTTGACAAACCTGATAAAAACAAGAAATGGGGAAATGATTCTGTATTTAATAAATGGTGCTGGGAAAACTGGCTAGCCTTATGTAGAAAGCTGAAACTGGATCCCTTCCTTAGACCTGATACAAAAGTTAATTCAAGATGGATTAAAGACTTAAATGCTAGCCATAAAATCATAAAAACTTTAGAAGAAAACTTAGGCAATACCATTCAGGACATAGGCATGGGCAAGGACTTCATGCCCAAAACACCAAAAGCAATGACAACAAAAGCCAAAATTGACAAATGGGATCTAATTAAACTAAAGAGCTTCTGCAAAGCAAAAGAAACTACCATCACAGTGAACAGGCAACCTACAGAATGGGAGAAAATTGTTGTAATCTACTCATCTGACAAAGGGCTAATATCCAGAATCTACAAAGGACTTAAACAAATTTACAAGAAAAAAACAAACAACCCCACCAAAAAGTGGGTAAATGATATGAACAAACACTTCTCAAAAGAAGACATTTATGCAGCCAACAGACACATGAAAAAAATGCTCATGATCACTGATCATTAGAGAAATGCAAATCAAAATGACAATGAGATACCATCTCACTCCAGTTAGAATGGCGATCATTAAAGTCAGGAAACAACAGATGCTGAGAAGGATGTGGAGAAATGGGAACGCTTTTACACTGTTGGTGGGAGTGTAAATTAGTTCAACCATTGTGGAAGTCAGTGTGGCAATTCCTCAAGGATCTAGAACTAGAAATAGCATTTAACCCAGCAACCCCATTATTGGTTATATAATCCGAAGGATTATAAATCATGCTATTGTAAAGACACATGTGCACATATGTTTATTGCGGCACTATTCACAAATTCACAATAGCAAAGACTTGGAACCAATCCAAATGTCCATCAATGATAGACTGGATTAAGAAAACGTGGCACATATACACTATGGAATACTAAGCAGTCATAATAAAAAGGATGAGTTCATGTCCTTTGCATGGTCATGGATGAAGCTGGAAACCATCATTCTCAGCAAACTATCACAAGGACAGAAAATCAAACACTGCATGTTCTCACTCCTAGGTGCAAATCGAACAATGAGAACACTTAGACACAAGGCGGGGAACATCACACACTGGGGCCTCTCAGGGGGTGGGGAGCTGGGGGAGGGAGAGCATTAGAAGAAATACCTAATGTAAATGATGAGATGATAGGTGCAGCAAACCAACATGGCACATGTACACCTATGTATCAAACCTGCACATTGTGCACATGTACCCTAGAATTAAAGTATAATAATAATTTTAAAAAATTTCTGGTGCTGCAAATTGGAGAGAGGTTTGTCTGCTTCATTTGGTTCAGTTTCCTTTCAGCCAAGTTGAGAAATATGGCAGTCCCAGACTACCTAGTGAACTATAATTGCTTTGCCAAGTGCTATTTTTTTATGGCTCTGGGAGAGGGGAGACATTTTTAAATCACTCATGTTCTTTGAGCAAGGAATTGTGATTGCTTTCCATTTGGCTGATGCTTTTGCAATGTTAACAATTACCTTTTTCGGATGGAATGCCCTGATTACTCAGCCTTTGGACTCTTACGCTGTTTTTGTGTCACCTTTTGTTTTGCGGTCCTTCCGAGGATCTCAACTGAATAGCACTTATTAGGTATTATAACTTGTTTGTTATTTAAGTAATCTCTTCAAAGATTTTTGTTTATCTTGAGGGACACATTAAATCTAATTTGCCAAAAATGTCTCATCCTTGAAGATCTATGTGCTTTTAGACTTTTTCAGGAGACTTTCCAAGTGGCCATTCACGTTGAGTACAAGATGCTTGGCCACATGGATCCCCATCATGGAAACTACACCCAATCATTATAATTGGACATCAAAAATGGCACATTGGGTGGAAAACAGTGGATAGAAGGCAGCACTAACTTGTAGCTTTGACTCAGAAGGACAGAACAGTCTGTGGATACTCACATTATGAACTTTTGCTCCAAGAACTACCACAGGAACATACCAAAATAACGAAAATATTTCACAGACCCTTTGAAAGAAGCAACTTGCTGCTGCAAACATCGAGAGACAGCCAAAAAACTGTGAGTGCCCAAAGTGTGAGAGGGGAAAAGTCCACCTCCAAACACACATTCTCACTAGGGAGCCTGAAAATCCAGATCATGGGAGAAGGATTTAACCTTACCTAGAGCTGAAACAAATTTAAAAAGTCAAGTTAAATATAAACATAGAAGAAGTGGAAAGAGCTCTGTAGGCACTCCCGGCCCCCAAGAAAGCCCAGGGAGTCCATTTTTGACTTTATCTCACAGGGTTCCTTGGGGAGGGCTGCCAGTGGAACTGGGGAAAGACCACAGGGAGTAGAAAACTTCCAGCTAAACTTTGTAATAATTTTGACTAAGCATGAATTTTCTAGGGTAGAGTCTAGGGGTGGGAGGAGAACAGGAAGTGCAGGTATGAGCACAGAAGCTGTGGTGGGCAGGAGCAAAGCCTGAAAGCCCTACTTGCTTTCTCAGAGGAGAGGCTTGTAACCTGGGGCAAGTTCCCATCCCTGCTCACCAGCTGCCTGGATATAGACTTGGTGTTGTTTGGGGAGTACGATGGAAATGAGACTGGCCTTTCCAGCTGCATGAGAGCTGTGTGAGGCCTGTCACTGCTGGCTTTTTCCTACTTTCCTGGTAACCTGTATGATGCAGCAGAGGCAGCCATAATCCACCTGGGAACATAACTCCATGGGCCTGAGAAACACAGCCCCATCTCCCACAGTGGATGCTGCAAGCCCTGCCCAAGAAGAGTCTGAGCTCCGACGCACCTAAGCCTGCCCCCAACCTGATGGTCTTTCTCTACTTACCCTAGTAGCTGAAAACAAAATACATAATCTCTTGAAAGCTCTATGGCCCCACCCACTACCTGAGAAACCTGAGTACTTATCCAGGTGACCCTATGGCAAGTTTGTATCTTCCCTATACTACCACAGCTGATGCTCTCTTGAAAGCGACACATCCGGGCTGGAGGCCAACCAACATAAACCATTACAGAAACTCATAAAAGAACAACCCTGCCCTAAGAAATGAGAAAACAACAGCTAACTTCACTGCCTGTAGCATCCTGCAACCAGAGGTCCTAAGTCCTTCCACATGACAACTTTACCGCCAGCACAACCAGCGTTTGAGAAAACCAGTGCACTAAACAGCACTACAGCCAAGGTCCCAAACAGAGTCCACCTCACTCCCCTGCTACCTCCACTGGACCAGGTGCTGGAATCCATGGCTTAGAGACCTGAAGATAGATCACATCACAGGACTCTTTGCAGACACTCCTCCATATCAGCCTGGAGCCCAGTAGCTCTGCTGGGCAGCTAAACCAAGAAAAGAAATAAGAATCACTGCAATCCAGCTCTTAGGAAGCCAAATCTCTAGGGGAAGGGGAAAAGCAGCACATCAAGGGAGCACCTGATGGGACAAAAAGAATCTAAATGACAGTGCTTGAGCCCCAGATATTTCCTCTGACATAGTCTACCCAAATGAGAAGGAGCCAGAAAAACAATTCTGGCAATATGACCAAACAAGTTTCTTTCACACCCCCAGAAGATCACACTAGCTCACCAGCAATAGATCTGAACCAAGAAATCTCTGAATTGCCAGAAAAGAATTCAGAAGTTTGATTATTAAGCTACTCAATGAGTCACCACAGAAAGGTGAATACCAACTTAAAGAGATCAAAAACATGATACAGGATATGAAAGCAGTATTCTTCAGTGAAATAAATAGCATAAATAAAAAACAATCACAACTTCTGGAAATGAAGGACACACTTAGAGAAATGCAAAATACACTGAAAAGACTCCACAATAGAATCACACAAGTAGAACAAAGAACCTCAGAGCTTGAAGACAAAGCCTTTCAAATTAATCCAATCTGACAAAGACAAAAAAAAAAGAATAAAAAAATAAACCAAATTCTCCAAGAAGTTTTGGGTTATGTTAAATGACAAAACCTAAGAATAATTGGTGTTCCCAAGGAAGAAGAGAAATCTAAAAGTTTGGAAACGTATTTGAGGAAATAGTCTAGGAAAACTTTCCTGGCCTTGCTAGAAATTCAGGCATCCAAAAACAAGAAGCTTTAAGAACACCTGGGAAACTCATCACAAAAAGATCATCGCCTAGGCACCTAGTCATTAGGTTATCTAAAGTCAAGATAAAGGAAAGAATCTTAAGAACTGTGAGGCAAAAACATCAAGTAACCTATAAAGGAAAACCTATCAGATTAATAGCAAATTTCTCTGCAGAAATCTACAAGCTAGAAGGAATTCAAGTCCTTTTTTAGCTTCCTTAAATAAAACAATTATTAGACAAGAATTTTGTATCCATTGAAACTAAGCTTCATAAAAATGAAAGATACAGTCTTTTTCAGACAAACAAATGCTGAAAGAATTCACCAATACAAAGTCAGCACTACAAGAACTGGTACTGGTATAAAAACAGGCATATGAACCAATGGAACAGAACAGACAACTAGATCATGACAAAAATGGTGGATAGGAGGCAGGAATAAATTGCAGCTCCCACTTGGATGGACAGAGCAGCACGTGGAGACTTGCATTGTAAACTTCTGCTCAAAGAACTACTGCAAGAAAATACCACAAAGGCTGAGATAATTCACAGACCCTTTTAAGGAAGCAGATTGCTCCTGCAGGACCTGAGAGACAGCCCAAATACTGTGCTGGTATCCACAGCTGAAAGACCTGAACAGTTCACAGCACAGGACAATGTGCAGACACCCCACAGTACCAGCTCAGAACCTGGTAGCTCTGCTGGGTGGCTAGATCCAGAAGAGAAATAACAACCACTTCAGTTTGGCTCTCAGGAAACTCCATCCATAGGGAAAAGAGGAGAGCACCACATCAAGCGACCACCTTGTGGGAAAAAAAAAGATCTGAACAGCAGCCCTGGAGTCCCAGATCTTCTCTCTGACATAGTCTACCCAAATGAGAAGGAATCAGAAAAACAGTTCTGGTTATATGATAAAACAAGGTTCTTTAACACCCTCAAAAGAGTACACTAGCTCACCAGCAATGGCTCCAAACCAAGACAAAATCTCTGAATTGTTTTATTTAGAGAGGCTGAAGATGGGGCCCCAATCCCTTCTAGCTTGGAGGGTTTCTGCTGCTAAGAAATCTGCTGTTAATCTGATAGCTTTTCCTTGATGGATTACCTCATGCTTTTGCCTCACAGCCCTGTTTTCAGACTTCTTAAACAAAACAATTATCATCCAAGAATTTTGTATCCAGTGAAACTAAGCTTCATAAATGAAGGAAAGATACAATTTTTTTTCAGACAAACATATGCTGGGAGAATTCACCAATACCAAGCCAGCACTGTAAGAACTGCTAAAAGGAGCTCTAAATCTTGAAACAAATCCTGAAAAGAAATATCAAAACAGAGCCTCTTTAAACCATGAATCTCACAGGACCTACAAAACAAAAATACAATAAATAAAGGTATTCAGACAACAGATAGCACAATGAATGGAATAGTAACTCATATCTCAATATGAATATTGAATGTAAATATCCTAAATGCTCCACTCTAAAGATACAGAATTGATAAGAATTCACCACCCAAGTATCTGCTGCCTTGAAGATACTCATCTAACACATAAGAACTCACAGAAACTTAAGGTAAAGGGGTGGAAAAAGAAATTCCATGCAAATGGACACCAAAAGTGAGCAGGGGTAGCTATTCTTATATCAGACAAGAGAAACTTTAAAGCAACAGCAGTTTAAAAAGGCAAAGAGGAACATTATACAATGATAAAAGGCCTTGTCCAAGAGGAAAATATAACACATAACCCTGGAGCTCCAAAATTTAGAAAACAATTACTACTAGAACTAAGAAATGAGGTAGAGAGCAACACAATAATAATAATGGGGACTTCAATACTCCACTGAAAGCACTAAACAGGTCATCAAGACATAAAGTCAACAAAGAAACAATGAACTTAAACTATACCCTAGAACAAGTGGACTTAACAGATATTTACAGAAATTTCCATCAAAATACCATCATCATTCTTCACAGAACTAAGAAAGACAATCCTAAGATTCATATGGAACCAAAGAAGAGCCTGCATAGCCAAAGCAAGACTAAGCAGAAAGAACAAATCTGGAGGCATCACATTACTTGACTTAAAACTATACTATAAGGCCATAGTCACCAAAACATCATGGTACTAGCATACAAATAGGCATACAGACCAATAGAACAGAATAGAGAATCTAGAAATGAACGCTAAAACTTATAGCCAAAGGATCTTTGACAAAGCAAACAAAAACATAAAGTAGGGAGAGGACACCCTATTTAACACATGGTGCAGAGATAATGGCAAGCTACCTGTAGGAGAATAAATCTGGATCCTCATCTCTCACCTTATACAAAAATCAACTCAAGGTGGATTAAGAACTTAAATCTAGGACCTGAAAATATATAAATTCTAGGAGATAACATCAAAAAGCCCTTCTAAATATTGGTTTAGGGAAAGATTTCATGAACAAGAACCCAAAAGCAAATGCAATAAAAAAAAAGATAAATAGGTGGGGCTTAATTAAACTAAAGACCTTCTGCACAGTAAAAGGAACAGTCAGCAGAGAAAACAGACAACCCACAGAGTGGGAGAAAATCTTCACAATCTATACATCTGACAAAGGACTAATATCCAGAATCTACAAGGAACTCAAACAAATTAGCAAGGAAAAAAAAAGATCCCATCAAAAAGTGGGCAAAGTAAATGAATAGACAGTTCTCAAAAGAATATATCTAAATGCCCAACAAACATATTAAAAATGCTCAACACCACTAAAGATCAGGGAAATGCAAATCAAAACCACAATATGATACCACCTTACTCCTGCAAAAATGACCATAATAAAAAAATAGATATTGACATGGATATTGTGAAATAGGAACACTTCTACACTGTTGGTGGTAATGTAAACTACTACAACCACTGTGAAAAGCAGTGTGGAGATTCCTTAAAGAGCTAAAAATAGAACTACCATTTGACCCACCAATCCCACTACTGGGTATATACCCAGAGGAAAGGAAGTCATTTTACGAAATAGATCCTTGCACATGCAGGTTTATAACCAGCACAACTCGTAATTGCAAAAATATGGAAACAGCCCAAATGCCCATCAATCAATTAGTGGATAAAGAAAATGGGGTATGTATACACCATGGAATACTACTCAGCCATAAATATGGACAAAATAATGGCATTCGCGGCAACCTGGATGGAATTGGAGACCATTATTCTAAGTAACATAACTCAGGAATTGAAAACCAAACATTGTATGTTCTCACCCATAAGTGGGATTTAAGCTATGATGATGCAAAGGCATAAGAATAATATAATGGACTTTGAGGACTTGGGAAGTGTGGGAGGGGAGTGAGGGATAAAAGACTACACATTGGGTACAGTGTACATTGCTCGAGTAATGGGTGCACCAAAATCTCAGAAATCATCACTAAATAATTTATCCATGTAACCAAAAACTACCTGTTCCCCAAAAACCTATTGACATTTTTTTAATGGCAAATCAGGTAGAAAAAGATTTGTCAGCAAGACATCTGGGCCCCACAGCTGGCAGTGGGGGCCAATTCAGTCAGGCCTGGTGATTACCAGGGCTGGTGAGACTTGGGGTGGTGCATGGCAAACACATATGATCTCCTAGGGCTTCAGTTTTATGGGAATTCAAGGGGACACCTTGGACTCCATCATGGTCTAACTTTGCTCATGTGGATGCCCATGACCTCCTCGACTTTGGTCTATGTTTCTATCATTTGATTATCTTGGCTCCTGGAGAGCTACCTCTCTACTCTCACTGAAACACCTCTAGGTTGTATACTAAATAAAATTGGAATATTTTTAAGCTGTATAAATTAAAAGATTTTAAAATGGCCAAAGCTAAAACTCTTGATCACATCCTCACCAATTTAAGGCTTAGGGTTTTCTTTTCCATCACTGAGTCTCTCCCTTTCCTCTCATTCTTCCACTTATAAATCTCCAGAACATTTCCCCTCAACCATTGTGACTTTGCTCCCTCTGTCTGATTTCTCAGTTCATGCTGATGGGTGATGGTGGACGTGGGAAGTGGACTTCAAAGTCCACACTGAGTAGACCTAGGTCACTCTGGTCCTCCTGGACAGGAGGATTGTGCAGGTTGCAGGGCTTAAGCACAAGCCTCAAAATGTCTAAAGATCTTCATTTTATCTTACTAGTAACAAATATCCTGTTATGTTTGCACTTCGTTGTATTTCATCATTTTTGAATTGTTTTCATGAAAATTTATTTTGCTTTTTGGTCCATCTGTACTCAAAGACTTTCATGTCTTTTCTTTTTATCTCTGACCTGTAAGGCTAATAGGATGTATCCTAAAGGCCCTTTCTTCTGTGTGTGTCAAGGCTCCTCCACCTTTGGCCAGGGTGAATGGAGTTTTGTCTTTACACAGCAGAAAACTTAAATTGCTGGGTAAGACACATTTTCTGCCAAATTCCCTTTATGGAACCTAGGAAGCCTAAGAGGTATGACCATTTACACCTGCTAAGCCATTATTTTAAGAGCAAAATTAAAGCATTAAGGGAACATATATAATGTTTGCCATTAATAAAGTGAAAAATGTATAAATAAGTGCTCCATGATTAGGCTTATTCAACACAGCATGGCCCCAAACAATACTGTTTTATAATTACACCTTTTTATAAAAAGAAAGGAGGATGATAAGAAATTTTCCAAGGGCCAAGGGGACCCTGGCATTATTCTTCCACCTAACTAAACTTGTCTATACTAAGAAAAACTTCTTAAACACCAATACCAAATATATTTCCATGTTTTTCAAAAGAGTTTGAGGAAACCCAGTGTAATTAATGACTCTATATTAGGAAACATGCTTCCCATGAACAGCTTCCTTTCCTTATAATTTAGTTCAAGTTTACTCCTCAAACCTCTTGAGCTTCTACTCCTTCTACTAGTCCTTCCTTACCAGAAACACAGTCTTCTGCATCCCTTCCTTATCAACGTACTTACCAGACACTCCCTGAAGGACCCAGTCCCATTGGAACAACTCATAACAGGGTATCCTATTGCCAACCTAAAATGAAAAAACAGACTACTCACTCTCTTTCTCTCAGGAAGGTAACAAATAGAGAAATGTACCAAATCCTCGTAGAGACCTACTCCATTAATCAGTCTGCCCCAGATATTAGAAAAACTAACAAAAACTAGCCATGGGTCTCCAAATCCCCAATAAATAAGTGACTAAATATAGCTTTTAGGTTCTGCAAATACCAAGGCAGAGTGAAAAAGGCACATAGAAATCAAAGAAGAAAAGAGAGACAAAAGACAGGACCAATTGTTGGCCCTCGCTATGGGAAAACTTCCATCTCCAGATCATTCTGGATGGAACCCAAAAGGCTATTGTGGCATTTACAAAAAGTCTGGACACTGGAGCCAAATCAGTAACAAGGGCCAAGGGCCTTCAGGCTTACAGACCCCCTGGAGCCTATCATCAATGTGGTAAAGAAGGACACTGGAAGAAGAAATGTCCCCAACTCTGAAGGGAGGAGGGGACTCCTAATTCCTTATTGACCCTGGCCAAAGACTAAAAAGATCCAAAGCTAACAATGACTCTCCCATGTAGCAATCAGTCTCAATCATAGCAATGGAGTCTTGGGTGACTCTGGATGTGACAGGTAGAAATACTAATTTCCTTTTAAACATAGGGGCCAGGCTGTCAACCCTCACTTTCTGCCCTGGAGCTCTGTCTGCCAAATACCATACTGTCATTGGTGTTAATAGCAAACACCAAACTAGGATTTTCACTCTACCCTGCAGCTGGCCAACTTCAATTGCAGTAAAACTTAGGGATATGGGGCCTTGGGTGCACTTATCACAAATAAAAATTATTTCTTTTAAGTCATCACAAAAACACACAATGCAGACTCCAAGTTATTCTTGTGAAGCACTGGAGGGTCTAAAGCTCCTGTCCAATAAATAATCAAAACCCAAAACATCAAACAATGAATATTTTCTCAGCACAAGTTTCTATTCAAGAAAACAGCTCAAAATGAGATCACCTTAAAAGATAAGTATTATTTTATTTTTATCTTATTTACTCACTTTACACACTCAGTAAAATGACTTTATCTGCTAAAGAAATAATAAATCATACTCCCAGCTTATTAAAATTAACTTAGCCTTGCTGGCTTTGCATGACTACAAAAAGCAGAAAATATGCCATATTTGTGCCTCAAGAAGACTGGGCCAACATCCCTATACACCTCCTGGAACAAACCCGTTGGCCTATAAAATGGGAATATCTGGCTAAACAAGCAATACAAAGACTTCCTTGAACCTGACTATGGCCAGTTCAAACTTCCCTTTTAATTATATTAATAATAGTTCCTCCTGACAAAGGGAAAAATGTTTTCTTACCTTATCTTTTACCCAAAGCAATTTCCCTTCTGCCTTTACAATAATTGTACCAGTTTTACTATTCTCATAGAAGAACTCCAAGAGAGTCAATATAACCAAGCTTTTATTACTGGGTCATCTACACATTTTTTGATGGGACTCTAAAAAAATAAGCTTATTTTAAAAACTTATTAACACCACCCAACTCTACCATTCTCTAATAATCACAGTGACCACTGAACTTTCATTACTTTTACCACCTTCATGCAAAATACTTCCGCAGCACAAATGTAACCATCACAAGAAATTTAGCGGGTGTGAGGCATTTTGAATCTTTGGCATATCTACAACTCCCTCCTCTATGGAAGGGATGATGCTCCATTGCTTTCATTTCTCCTTATTTAACTTTCAACTGGGTAATGCATCTCTCGCTTTCCCCATGTACCAACATCACAAGATCCACCTACACATAAGACCCCTTATTCCTTTAGGTTTGATGCTATCCTCTCTGTTGGGATTAGCAGGGTCAGCCACAGAAGGTGGAGCCTTGGGAATCCAGCATAAACTCTCAGGAGACCACAGTGACCCTCCAAAAACAGCTGAGGGCCTCACTAGACTTCAGCAACAGCTGGACTCCCTGGCTGCTGTAGGCCTACAAAACTGAAGAGCTGTAGATGTTGTCACAGCTGGACAAGGAGGAACATGTTTGTATCTAAAAGAAGAATGCTGTTTTTACATTAATTAGTCTACTTTGTTCCAAGAAAAAATTAAAAATATTAATACCCAGGCAAACAAAACTGAGTCTTTGGGAACTATAACAGGAACTTGGAAACAACGGATATTATCAGCCTTGCTTCCTTTAATAGTGCCAATTATTACCATACTTTTAGCCGTAACTTTCAGTCCAACTTTGTTTAAAGTGCTAACCAGTTTCTAGCTCTCTCTCCTACAGCAATCCCAGGCCCACATGATGGTTTTGCAAGGCCTCCAACATTTGGCTGCTAATAAGCTGTCCCACATCTCACCCACCAGTCCTACAAAAAAACATGACTTAAAACTCGTTAGACGAGACAGAAAGAGACTTTAGGGCCCAGGCTAAGCAGGGACAACTACCCACTCAGCAGGAAGCAGCTCTGGACGAAGTAACCAAGCCCCTCAACCTCCCATATGACTGTGAGCCATAAATCACTTAAGGGAAAATTGAGAGAGGCTAGGTAGTCAAGGTGGTAACCATGTCCTCAGGATGTGGCAGCCATAGTGACCACACCATCAACAAAATGAACCCCTGCATTTGCATTGTAGTCAAGCTCATTCAAGAAAAGCTAACTCCAGAAGGGAAGTTCCCCTGTAGAAAGCAGGCACATTTTGATTTTACCTGTCCTCAGACTGATGATTTGCTCTAATAGTAAAAAACACACTGCTGGGTGGAGATTTAAGATGCTAATGAGACATGTGATGTATGGACAAGCATGTACAGCTACCGTGCATGTGCAGCCAAAGGACCACCCATAATATGCTTACTAGCAACATTCTTTCCCACACCCTTATGAATAATCATGTAAGACTTCCATAAAGGGAGTCTCCCTAATGCCAGTCTTTGCCATCTCATCCTCACGGGCAGCTCACTCTGAATTGTCCCTCAGGGTGTACTGTCTATTCTGCACCTAACTTTCAGAGTATTCTTTCTCCTTTGAAATGCATTGCTCTATACTGCATCTCCTTTGCTGTGTGTCTCTTGTTTAAATTCTTTTAATCTCAAAATACAAGAACCAAGGCTTCACAACAACCATCAGCATTATAATTATTTTTATATTATACTACAGTTAACTTTCTAAGATCTCAAATATTTTAAAAAGTAGGTAAGATTTTTTAATTTTTCATTCTTAGTTTGTATTGGTACATCATAGCTGCATATACTTATGGGGTACATGAGATGTTTTGATACAGGCAAGATTTTTTTAAATAAAGAAACAATATCTTGTAGCATAATGCGTGTAGGCTATACATTTTTAAAAATGATTTAAAAGCTTTTACATTTGTCACTATTGATCCCCTAGTAGGTAATCATATACAGGGTGCATATTTTCCAAAGATTTTATTTTAAAATTAGCAATACAAAAGAAATTTTGTCATACCAGTTTTTTTAATGTAGGCATGGTATGCATCAAAGGTTAAGGCAACAGAATCATTCAAAAATAACTTTTTGTTTAGTGGACATACTGTGGCCCAGAAGCTTTGGCAGAGGCTTAGTAGAAAATAGAAAAGCAGCTAAAAATAGGATTGTAGTTTATTTAAAAATTGTATTTAGAAAAGTCTTAAAGTTCATTATTTATTACTGTTTTACAGTGGCATAAAATTGGAGTATATAAAGTATGTTCTTATAATAACTGAAACTTCCAAAACCATATCAGAAAATCTGTTGAGCAGTTTCTTATAAAGTTAAGCACATATTAACCGTGTGACCCAGCAATCACTCTCCTAATTGCACTAGCCAAGACTACCAGTACTATACTAACTATAAGTTGTGGAAGTGGGCATCCTTGTCTTGTTCCTAATCTTAAAGAAAAAGCCTTCTGCTTTCCATCACTGAGTATATTACCTGTGTGCTTGTCATATATGGCCTTTATTATGTTGTGGTACATTAATACATAATTTATTGAGAGATTTTATCACAAAATGATATTGCATTTTGTCAAATTCTTTTGCTGTGTCTATTGATATGATATATAATTTTTTATCTTTCATTCTGCTAATGTGACATATGACATTGATTGAATTGCATAAATCAAATCATTCTTACATCCCAGGGATAAATCTCACTTGTACATGGTGTATGATCCTTTTTATGTGTTGCTGAATATTGTTTGCTCATATTTTGTTTAGGATTGTTTGTTCATCAATATTAATTGGGGATATTGGTCCCAGTTTTCCGTTAGGCTCCTTGGAACATGGTGAAAGACTGGAAACATTTTCTCTAAAATCAGAAATAAGAACAAGTTACCTACTTTTGTCATTTTTATTTAATATAGTACTAAACGTCCTAGCCACCATTATATAATAAGATAAAGAAATAAAAGCCATCCAAGTTGAAAATTACAAAGTGAAATTTGTTTTCAGGAGATACGATATTCTATATAGAAAACCATCAATTTTCCACAAAAAAGCTGTTATAACTAATAAATTAAGCAAATTTGCATGATACAAAATCAACACAGAAATATCAGTTTCATTTCTATACACTAACAATAAACATTTAAAAAATGATAAAACAATTCCAAAAACAACAGCATTAAAATAATAAAATATTTAAGAATAAACTTAATCAAGGAGGTAAAAGATGTGTATACTAAAAACTACAAAAATTTGTTACAAAAATTTAATAAAGACATGAGTAAATAAAATAATGTCCCATGTTCATTCAGTGGAAGATTCAATATTTTTAAGATGTTAATACCTATTTTATTCTAACATAGTGGGTTACGGGCTTTTAATGTGCTTCAGTCACTTAGAAATAGAGAAACAGTGTGTAAAGATAAACTCTGTGAGTTTTAATTCAAGAAGAAAAATGGGAATTCACCAGAATAGCAAAGAATACCCCAGAACCTGGAGAGAAGACTGGGAAGCAGCCCCTTTGATGGTGATTGACTGATATAAACCAGCTCAAGGCCTGAGGCAACAGAGAACTTCCCACAGCAAACCAGATCAAATACACACCCATCCACATTGGCTGCAATCAGCTCTTACCCATAAGCACAAACTAGTTGCCTTGAGGCTAAATGGTACAATAAAACAAGAAATCTGCTGACTGAAGTGCACAGCACTGGGGAATAATGTCAGATACCCTGAGAGCTCTGACATCCAAGCTACATAGGAGGCAGTGGGCCTGCTGACATGCCCAGAACACCACTACTACAGCAAATATTTGAGAAAGCCACTATATATAGGCTACCTATAACCAAGGAACTTATATAGACTCTTTGCCACTTAAAACATTCATAGCCAAAGTCAAAGGACTCTACACAACATCATATACTTTAGACACCTCCTCAAGAGTAAAAATATTTCCACCTAAACAAAAGAAAAATCAAAATATAAGTAGAAGAAATAGCCTATCAAAATGGGAAAGAACCAGAGAAACAATTCTGAAAGTATAAGAGTGTTACTATACCGTCAAGGGAGAAGACTAACTCTTTACCAACAAATTCTAACCAAAATGAAATCTTTGAAATACTAGGTATTCTATGTATTGATTTTAAAGAAGCTTGGGCCGGGCGCGGTGGCTCACGCCTGTAATCCCAGCACTTTGGGAGGCCGAGGTGGGCGGATCACGAGGTCAGGAGATCGAGACCATCCCGGCTAAAACGGTGAAACCCCGTCTCTACTAAAAATACAAAAAATTAGCCGGGCGTAGTGGCGGGCGCCTGTAGTCCCAGCTACTTGGGAGGCTGAGGCAGGAGAATGGCGTGAACCCGGGAGGCGGAGCTTGCAGTGAGCCGAGATCCCGCCACTGCACTCCAGCCTGGGCGACAGAGCGAGACTCCGTCTCAAAAAAAAAAAAAAAAAAAAAAAAGAAGCTCAATGTGATGCAAGAAAAAGCTAAAATCAACAAAGAAATCAGGAAAACAATTCAGGACATGAAAGAAGAGAAAAATATTATGAAAAAAACAGAACATCTGGAAATAAAAAAAAAGTAGGAGTTACAAAATACAGTTAAAATCTTTAACAATAGGCTAAACCAAATAGAAAAAAGTATTACAGAGCTGAAACACAGGTCATTTGAATTAGCTCGGTCAGAAGAAATAAAGAACAATGAATTTAAAAAGATGAACAAAGCCTTTGAGAAATATGGAATTATGTAAAACTTCCAAATCTACAATCTAAAAATCTACAAGTTGTAAGTATTCTAGAGAGAAAGAAAGGAAAAAAAAGTATGGAAAACTTATTTCAGAAAATAATTCAAGAAAACTTTGAGATTTAGACATCCAGACAAGAAGTCAGAGAAATCCTGGAAGATACATTGCAAGAAGAACTTCACCAAAAAATATAGTCATCCAATTGCTTGAAACCGGAAGGCAGAGGTTGCAATGAGCCAAGATCACACCACTGCACTCCAGCCTGGGCAACAAGAGTGAAACTCTGATTCAAAAAAAATATATATATATATATATATATAGTCATCAAGCTATCCAAAGTCAGCTTGAAAAAAAAATCCTAAGAGTGGCAAGGAGAATTGTGTAATCATCTATAAATGAAATCTCATCAGACTAATAGCAAACTTTTCAGCAGAAATCCTACAATCTAGAAAAGATTTGGGCTATTTTTTGCCTCCTTAAAGAAAAGGAATGCCAGAATAAAATAATATATCCTGCCAAACTAAGCTTCAAAAATAAGGGAGAAATAGTATTTCCCAGACAATCACTAAGGGAATTTATTACCACTAGACTGTTCCTCCAAGAAAAGCTCAAAAGAGTTCTAAACATGGAGATGAACCAACAACAATCATCATTGTAAAAGGACACATAAGTACAAAGTTTGTATATCCTATGAAACAATTACACAATTGAAACCCCAAGGCAACTAGGTAATGACAATATGACAAGATCAAAATCTCACATATTAATATTATTCACCTTGAATATGAATGGCCTAAATACTCCACTTAAAAGATACTGATAGACTAACTTCATTGAAAAAAAAACACACAACAATCTGTTGCCTAAAAGAGACACACCTACTGGCTAAATACAACTACAGACTTAAATTAAATGGGTGAATAAAAATACGTCATGCAAATGGAAAGCAAAAGTGAACAGGAGCAGCTATCCCCATATCAGATAAAACAGACCTTAAACCAACAGCAGTTAAAAAAAAAAGAAGGGCCTTATATAATGATAAAAGCTTCAGTACATCAAGAAGATTTAACCATCCTAAATATATATACACCCAACACTGGAGCACCCAGATTCATAAAACAAATACTACTTGACCTAAAAAAACATGGATAGCAATAGAGTAATAATGAGGGACTTAAACACCCCCACTAAAACCACTAGACAGATCACTAAAGTGGTAAAGCAACAAAGAAACTCAAACTTACACTGAACTATAGACCAAATGAACATATTAGACATTTACAGAGCATTCCATCCAATGACAGTAGAATATATTCTCTTTTCACCTCCACATAGAATATTCTCCAAAATTGACCATATGCTTGGACATAAAGGAAGATTTATTAAATATTTTGAAATCAAAATCATATTAAGTATCTTTTTGGACCACAGTGAAAAAAAATTTAAAAGCAACACCAAGAGGAACTCTAAAAACTACACAGTTACACGGAAGCTAAACAACTTGTTTCTGAATGACTTTTGAGTAAACAACAAAATTAAGGCACAAATAAAGAGAAATAAAAATGGTGAAAACAGAGATACGACATATCAAAAACTATGTGATACAGCAAAAACAGTATTAAGAGAAAAATTTATACGATTAAATGTCCACATTACAACAATCCCAAATTAAAAGCCAAACATCAAAGTTCAAGGAACCGGAAAAACAAGAACAATGCAAACCCAAAACTAACAGAAGAAAAGAAATCACAAAGGTCAGAGCAGAACTAAGTAAGATGGAGACAAAAAAAAATGATACAAGAAAGTAACAAAAGAAAAAGTTGTGGTTTCTTTTTAAGGATAAGCAAAATTGACAGACAGCTAACTAGATTAACCAAGATACAGTGAGGCAAGATTCAAACAAGTACAATCAGAAATGAGAAAGAGGACATTACAACTGATGCCACACAAATACAAAAGATTATCAGGGACTACTATGAATGCCACTATGTGCTAAAACTAGAAAACCTGTAAAAAATTGATAATTTCCTGGAAACATACCAATTCCCAAGACTGAACCAGGAAGAAATAAAAATCGTAAACCTGCCAATAACGAGTAAAGAAACAATCAGTAATAAAATTTTTTTCAAGAAAACAAAAAAGCCCGGTATTAGACAGATTCACAGCCAAATTTTTCCAGACATAAAAAGACGAGCTGGTAACAATCTTATTGAAACTATTCCGGGAAATTGAGAAGTGATTTCTTTCTAACTCATTCTATGAAACCAGTATTACCAGTATCAATCATTCTGATACCAAAATCAGGCAAGGACAAAACAAAAAAGAAAACTACAAGCCAATAGCTCTGAAAACATAGAATCAAAAGTCCTCAACAAAGTACTAGCAAACAGATTCCAACAGCACATCAAAAAAGTTAATTCATCACAATCAAGTGGGTTTTATTACAGGGATGTAAGGATGATTCAACATCTGCAAATCAATAAATGTGATTCACCATCTCAACAGATGCAGAACAAGCACTTGAGAAAATGTGTCCCTTCATCATAAAAACGCTGAACACACTAGACATCAAAAGAACATACCTCAAAATAATAAGAGCCATCTCTAACTAAACCACAGCCAACATTATACCGAATACAGAAAAGTTAAAAGGATTCCAACTAAGAAGTTCAAGAAGACAAGGATGTCCAATCTCACCACTCATACTCGACATAATACATGGAAGTCCTAACCACAGTAATTGGGCAAGAGAAATAAATAAAAAGTCTTCAAATTGGGAAAGAGTAGATCAAACTGTCTCTTTGCTGATGATGATTATATTCCTAGAAAACCCTAAATATTCCCCCAAAAGACTCCTAGACTTGATAAGAAAATTCACTAATGTTTCAAAATACAAAATCAATGTGCAAAACAGTAGCATTTCTGTACACCAGTAAAGTCCATGCTGAAAACCAAATCAATAACTCAATTCCATTTATAATAAGCAAAAATAAAAAAAAAATACCTAGGAATACATTTAACAAGGACGTAAAAGATATCTACAAAGAGAACTTCAAAACACTGATGAAATAAATCATAGATGATTCAAACATAGAAAATATCCCATGCTCACGGATTGGAAGAATCAATATTGTTAAAATGAGCATACTGTCCAAAGCAACCTGCAGATTCAAGGCAATCCCTATCAAATTACCAATATCATTTTTAACAGAATTAGAAAAATACAATCCTAAAATTCATATGGAACGGCACCAAAAAAAAGTAGTCAAGGCAATTCTGGGTGAAAAGAACAAATCCGAAGGTATCACACTGCATGACTTCAAGTTAAACTACAAGGCTACAGTAATTAAAACAGCATGGTACTGGAGCATAAATAGACACATAGATAAAGAGGACAAAACAGAGAACCCAGAAATAAAGCCACATACTACAACCAACTGATCTTCAACAAAGTTGCCAAAAATACAAAATGGAGAAAGGACACCTTATTCAATCAATGGTGCTGGGAAAATTGACTAGCTATGTGCAGAAGAATGAAACTGGACCCCAATCTCTCACCATATACAAAAATCAGCTCAAGATGGATTAAAGACTTAAACGAAAAACATGGAACTACAAAAATCCTGGAAGAAAATATAGAGAAAACTTTCCTGGACATTGGCCAAGTCAAACCACTTATGATGAAGAACTCAAAAGCAAATGTAACCAAAACAAAGATAGACAAATGTGACTTAATTAAACCAAAATGCTGTTACACAGCAAAATAAACAATCAACAGAGTAAACAGACAACCTACAGAATGGGAGAAAATATTTGCAAATTATTTATGTGACAAAGGACTAATATCCAGAATCTACAAGAAAATCAATAACAAGAAAAAACAAACAAACAAACATCTCCACTAAAAGTTGGGCAAAGAACATGAACAGACATTTCTTAAAGGAAAAAATGCAAGTGACCAACAAATACTTGTATTTTAACACATTAATAATGTTGAGCATTTTCTCAACATTATTAATCATCAGAGAAATGCAAATTAAAACCACAATGTGATATCATCTCACACTGGTCAGAATTGCTATTATTAAAAAGTAAAACAAGGAAAAGAAAACATCAGATGTTGGCATATTTGTGGAGAAAGTGGAATGCTTATACGTTTTTGTTGGGAATGTAAATTTATTTAACCTCCATGTAAAACGGTATGGAGATTTCTCAAAGAACTAAAAATAGAACTATTATTTAACCCAGCAATCCCATTACTGGGTGTATACCCAAAGGAAAACAAATCATTATATAAAACAGGCACCTGTAATCATATGTTCATTGCAGCACTATTCATAGTAACAAAGTCATGAAACCAACTTAACTGTCCATCAGTGGTTGTCTGGATAAAGAAAATACACCATGGTCTACTATACAACCATAAAAATAATAAATGTATTCCCTTTGCAGCAATGTGGATGGAGCTGGGGACGATTATCCTAAGTGAACTAACTCAGAAAAAGACAATCAAATATTGCATGTTCTCACTTAAAAGTGATAGCTAAGCAATGGGTCCATATGATTATAAAGATGGAAATAATAGACACTGGTAACTCCAAAAGGGGAGAAGATGGGAATGAAGAGACTGTTGAAAAATCAGGCACAATGTTTGCTATTTAGATATTTATTGGGTACACTAGAAGTCCAGTCTTCACCATTATGAAAAAGCAAGCACATGTACCTCCGTTAATCTAAAATAAAATAAAAATAAAAATATGTCAATATTTCCCAAAACAATGTACAGATTCAATGTGATTCCTATAAGATCCTATTAAATTTTTTTGCAAAAATAGTAAAATCTATCCTAAAATTTGTATGGTATTTCAAAGGACTCAAAATTACCAAAATGGTCTTGAGTAAAGAGAGCAAAATTGGAGTTCTCACATTTCCTGATTTCAAAACTTACTATATAACTATGGTAATCAAACTGTGTATTAATGACATAATGACAGACCTACAATCCACTGCAATAGAATTGAGAACCCAGAAATATATACTCACATATATTGTCAAATCATTTTTGACAAAGGTGCCAAGGCCATTCAAATGAGGGAAGGAAAATCTTTTCAGCAAATGGTGTTAAAAGTACTGAATATCCATTTTAATATTCAGTTAAAAGTACTGAATATCTGAAAAGAATGAAGTTGGATCCTTAACTTACACCACTTACAAAAAATTAACTCAAATGGTCAAAGACCTAATGTAAAAGCTAAAATTATACGCGTTTTAGAAAGAAATGTAGAGTAAAAACTTTATCACATTGAATTTTCAATGATTTCTCAGACATGACACCTAAAGCACAAACAACAAAAGTAAACAAACTGGGTTACCATAGTTTGGGAAGGGTAGTGGTGGTGGGGAGTGGGGATGGTTAGTAGGTACAAAAATATAGTTAGAACAAATGAGAACTAGTATTTTATAGCACAACAGAGTAATTACAGTGAATAATAATTTATTATACATTTAAAAATAACCAAAAGTGTATATGAGAACGTTTGCAACATTGCAAAATGATAAATGCTTGAGGTAATGGGCACCTCATTTACACTGATGTGTTTATGAAGCATTATATGCCAGTTTCAAAGTATCTCATGTACCCCATGAATATTTACACCTTCTATGTACACGTAAAATTAAAAAAAGTTTAAAAATAAAAAGTTTAATCGGAATACTTCAAAATTTAAAAACTTCTGTGCATCAAAAGAGTAAAAAGGCAACCTATAGAATGTGAGAAAATATTTGTAAATAATACATTTTTAATGGGTTTTACCCAGAATATATAAAGAACTCCTCCAATTCAACAAGAAAAATGCAAACAACCAAATTTAAAAATGATCAAATGACTGAGTAGACATTTCTCCAAATAATATATGTACATGTTCAATAATCACATGAGGAGATGCTCAAAATAACTAATCCTTCAGAGAAATGCAAATCAAGAGCACAATAAGATATCAACTTACCGTCATGATGGCAATTGCAAGAGCAAATAACATAATAACAACTCATGGTGAAAATGTGTGAAGATGTGGAAAATTTGTTTGTTTTTTGTTTTTTGTTTGTTTGTTTGTTTTGCACTGTTTGGTGGAATACAAAATGGTGCAGCAAGTATGGGAACCAGTGTGGAAGTTCCTCAAAAAATTTAAACTACAATTTCCTTATTACTCAGCAATCCACTTCAGAGTATACATATATCCAATAGAATTGAATGCAGAATCTCAAGTAGATGCTTGCACACCCCTTTTCATTTATTGGGCAATAACTAAGATTGTCCAGAGGTTCACATCATTTGCCCAAGTCGTAAACCCACAGTAGGAGAGATGCGAAATTGCATTATGGTTAATAGCCTGAGATATGGAGTTACAAAGACCTATGTCCAAGTTGCACACTTTGATTTATGATCTATCTTGCCTAGTGCAACTTATTTAACTTCTAAGTCCCAGGTATTTATTATTTAATATTTAAATAATAATAATACCTACTTTACAGATTATAGTGGGAATTTTATGAAATAATGCACATAAAATATTTAGGACAGTAGCTGGAAAAAAGTATTTGTTCAATAAATGCGTACTGTACTATTTGTAATGGTTTTTATTTGAAACACAGTCCTTTTTTCAATATCAGACGTGGCTTCATAGCAAAAGTTAGGGTAACAAGAAAGTGGGAGAGAAAGTGATGTTACCCATTTATGAAAACCAAAATCATCAAATTTTTATCAATTGATTAAAACAACTAAAAATCATTAATCCAGAAATTACCCTCCCAGAGATAAGGTAAAATTGTCTTAACGAATGTGGGCATGGGGAGGCAGCTCAGCAATTCCCCTCGAGGGTTAGTTTTATATTCCTATTATTTGAGTTACTTGTAAAAATAAAAAAATTGATTGTCTTCTTTCAAAGAATAACACTTGAGCAAAGTCAATTTTGGGTTGCATTTACGTAACACAAAATAATTACTTCAAAGTGGAAGGGAGTGGGCAGGGTAAAGCAACTTATTTTATATCATATGCTCTGCTGTGTTTTGTATACAGGTTTATTTGTCCTTACTAAAATTTATGTGGAAATTTGACCCCCCATGTAGCAGTGCTGAGAGGTGAAGCCTGTTGGGAGGCATTTGGGTAATGGAGGTGGATCCCCTGTGAATGACTTGGTGTTGTTCTAGTATCAGTGAGTGAGCTCTTACACTCAAGAGACTAGATTCATTCTTATGGAAATGGATTAGTTCCCAGGAGAGTGGGTTGCTATAAAGTCAGGATGCCCCTCAGTGTTTTCACTCTTCACATGTGTCTACTTCTTTTTCTACCTTCTCTGCCATATTGTGATACAGCACAAAATCCCTCACCAGAAACCAGAGCTGTAATTGCAGCTAGCCCCTTCAACTTCTCAGTCTGCAGAACCATGAGCTAATTAAACCTCTTTTCTTGATAAATTACCCAGTGTCAAGTATTCCTTTATAGCAACCTGAAACAGAATAAGACGTTTCATAGAGCTATTTTAACATAATACACTGAATTTTTTAAAATTTTGACAAATCGATGCTGCATTCTTTAACCAAAGAAATAAAGAGTGCAATTATATTTTGATATCCTGCCTCAAGATTTTTTGTTACTAGAGTAATAGCTGCCAGTGCCATATATACATGAGAAAAAATAACATCAGGGGTAGACAAAAATTACCTAGAAAAAAATAACTTCTTTTTCCTCTGACTCTTCCAACAAAGTTTTTATTCAGACTGCAATTATATGACTTTTGGCCAAATGAATATAAACACAGATTTTAGCAAGCTAAATGAATGAAGAATGAAGCTCATACTATGGGTAGCAATATTGCTATGTGTTCATTAAAATCTGTTTCTCTTTCTCCTAGGCAAGTAGAATACATTTCCGAAACCACTTTTCAGTTACGAGTGACTATTAAATCTATTTCTCATCCATGGAATGTAGGCAGAATTTAAAGTACACCATTTTGAGACCTGACTCATAAAAACTTCATGCACATTTTCTTATACAACTAAACAAATAACTACCATTTGACCCAGCAATTGCAATTCTACACATTTTTTTTCCAGGGGAATGAAAATTTACATTTACACAAAAAATAGATTCTCCTGTACAGTCTCCCTCCCTTTTCCCACTTGCTTGCTGAATGGAGAAGACTCAAAACCATGTTTTGAAGGTGGCTAAGCCACAAAATGGAAAGAGTCTATGTCCGTAAATCACCATGTTCGTAGTTTACCTCCAGATTTGGTATTTCTGCAAGTGAGAAATAAATTTCTATTGTGTTTTGTTCAGAGTTTATTTGTTATGAAAGCTAGTAATGCCTTAACTTGTATAGCATATACCACAAAATAAATACCTTAATATGTGAAACACTTCTAAGATATATTTCCTAAAGTATCATTATATGTCATTTTGATAGTTGAAAATACAAAGAAAGTCGTATGATTTGTTAAGTTAAATATGTTGATAGGATATTAAGCATTGATATAGCTAAGTAAATATTTTTTGAAAAAATGCACAACGACAAATCTTAATGCAGGCCAACCAGGAAGATAAATTTTAAAAAGGACTAAAATGAATAAAATCAGAGATGAAAAAGGAGACATTACAACCAATACTGCAGGAATTCAAAAAATCATTAGAGGTTAGTATGAACAACTGTACAGCAATAAACAGAAAAACCTAGGAGCAATGGATAAACTGCTAGACACATAAAACCTACCAAGATTGAGCCATGAAGAAATCCAAGACATGGTCAGACCAAAAACAAGTACCTAGATCAAAGTCACAATAGAAAGTCTACCGGCAAAGAAAAACCCCAGGATCCAATGGCTTCACTGCAGAATTTTACCAAATATTTAAAAGGAAGTAATACCAATCTTACTCAAGCTATCCCAAAAACTGGAGAAGGAGGAAATACTTTCAAACTAATTTTGTGAATCTAGAATTACCATGATATAAAACGAAAGACCCATTTAAAAAAAAAAAAACTATAGGTCAATATCACTGAAGAACATTAATGCAAATATCCTCAACAAAAACCCAGTAAACCAATTTCAACAATACATTAAAAATATCATTCATTATGACTACATGGGTCTTGTCACAGGGATGCAAGTATAGTTTAACATATGCAGATCAATCAATGTGATGCATCATATCAACAGAATGAAGGAAGAAATTATATAGTCATTTCAACTGATGTGCAAAAGCATTTGATAAAATTCAAAATCCTTTTATAATAAAAACCCTCAAAACACATGGACAGAAGAAACAAACCTCAACATAGCAAAAGCCACACACAACAAACCCACAACTAGTATCATACTCAGTGAGAAAAAACTGAAAGCCTATTCTGTAAGATATGTAATATGACCAAAACCAAAACCATATGCAGATCAATCAATGCTATACAGCTTATCAACAGAATGAAGGATAAATCACATGATGAAAATGCCCACTTTCATCACTGTTATTAAACATATTGGAAGTCCTAGCTAGAAAAATCAGATAAGAGAAAGTAAAAGGAAGGGAGGGAGGGAAGGAAGGGAGGGAGGGAAGGAAGGAAGGAAGGAAGGAAGGAAGGAAGGAAGGAAGGAGAAAGGGGAAAATGGCATTAAAATTGGAAAGGAAGAAATCAAATTATGTTTGTTTGCAGATGATATAATGTTATATTTGGAAAAACCTAAACACTCCACCAAAAAACTTGTGTAACTGATAAACAAATTCAATATAGTTGCAGGATACAAAATCAACATACAAATTAATACCATTGTATTTGCCAACAGCAAGAAATCTGAAAATCAAATTTTAAAAACTTACAATAGCTACTAATAAAATTAAATACTTACTAATAGCTACTAATAAAATTAGTACAATTACAATTGCTACTAATAAAATTACAATTACAATAGCTACTAATAAAATTAAATATTTAAAGAGGTTCCAAGACGGCCGAATAGGAACAGCTCCAGTCTACAGCTCCCAGCATGAGCCATGCAGAAGACGGGTGATTTCTGCATTTCCAACTGAGGTACCAGGTTCATCTCACTGGGGCTTATCAGGCAGTGGGTGCAGGACACTGGGTGCAGCCCAGTGAGAGTGAGCCAAAGCAGGGCGAGGCATCGCCTCACCCAGGAAGTGCAAGGGGTCAGGGAATTCCCTTTTCTAGTCAAAGGAAGCTGTAACAGATAGTACCTGGAAAACTGGGTCACTCCCACCCTAATACTGTACTTTTTCAATGGTCTTAGCAAATGGCACACCAGAAGAATATATCCTATGCCTGGCTCAGAGGGTCCCATGCCCACGGAGCCTTGCTCATTGCTAGCACAGCAGTCTGAGATCTAACTGCAAGGTGGCAGCGAGGCTGGGAGAGGGGCGCCCGCCATTGCTGAGGCTTGAGTAGGTAAACAAAGCGGCCAGGAAGCTCGAACTGGGTGGAGCCCACCTCAGCTCAGACTCCACCTGTGGGGGCAGGGCATAGCTCAAGAAAAGGCAGCAGAAACTTCTGCAGACTTAAATGTCCCTGTGTGACAGCTTTGAAGAGAGTAGTGGTTCTCCCAGTACAGAGTTTGAGATCTGAGAAAGGACAGACTGCCTCCTCAAGTGGGTCCCTAACACCCAAGTAGCATAACTGGAAGGCTCCTCCCAGAAGAGACTGACTGAAACCTCACGGCCAGGTGCCCCTCTGAGACGAAGCTTCCAGAAGAAAAATCAGGCAGCAACAATTGTTGTTCTGCAATATTCACTGTTCTGCAGCCTCCGCTGGTGATACCCAGGAAAACAGGGTCTGGAGTGGACCTCCAGCAAACTCCAACAGACCTGCAGCTGAGGATCCTGACTGTTAGAAGGAAAACTAACATAAAGAAAGGACATCCACAAGAAAACCCCACCTGTACATCACCGTGATCAAAGACCAAAGGTAGATAAAACCACAAAGATGGGGAGAAACCAAAGCAGAAAAGCTGAAAATTCTAAAAATCAGAGCTCCTCTTCTCCTCCAGAGGAATGCAGCTCCTCGCCAGCAATGGAAGAAAGGTGGGTGGAGAATGACTTTGATGAGTTGAGAGAAGAAGGCATCAGATGTTTGAACCCATCACAAAGAAGCTAAAAACCTTGAAAAAAGATTAGACAAATGGCTAACTAGAGTAAACAGTGTAGAGAAGACATTAAATGACCTGATGGAGCTGAAAACCATGGCATGAAAAGTATGTGATGAATGCACAAGCTTCAGTAGCCAGTTCGATCAACAGGAAGAAAGGGTATCAGTGATTGAAGATCAAATGAATGAAATGAAGCAAGAAGAGAAGTTTAGAGAAAAAAGAGTGAAAAGAAATGAACAAAGCCTCCAAGAAATATGGGACTATGTGAAAAGACCAAATCTATGTCTGATTGGTGTACCTGAAAGTGATGGGGAGAATGGAACCAAGTTGGAAAACACTCTGCAGGATATTATCCAGGAGAACTTCCCCAATGGAGCAAGGCAGGCCAACATTCAAATTCAGGAAATACAGAGAATGCCACAAAGATACTCCTTGAGAAAAGCAACTCCAAGACACATAATTGTCAGATTCACCAAAGTTGAAATGAAGGAAAAACTGTTAAGGGCAGCCAGAGAGAAAGGTCAGGTTACCCACAAAGGGAAGCCCATCAGACTAACAGCTGATTTCTCGGCAGAAACTCTACAAGCCAGAAGAGAGTGGGGGTCAATATTCAACATTCTTAAAGAAAAGAATTTTCAACCCAGAATTTCATATCCAGCCAAACTAAGCTGCATAAGTGAAGGAGAAATAAAATCCTTTACAGATGAGGAAATGCTGAGAGATTTTGTCACCACCAGGCCTGCCTTACAAGAGCTCCTGAAGGAAGCACTAAACATGGAGAGGAACAACTGGTACCAGCTACTGCAAAAACATGCCAAATTGTAAAGACCATTGATGCTAGGAAGAAACTGCATCAGCTAACGAGCAAAATAACCAGCTAACATCATAATGACAGGATCAAATTCACACATAACAATATTAACCTTAAATGTAAACGGGCTAAATGCTCCAATTAAAAGACAGAGACTGGCAAATTGGATAAAGAGTCAAGACCCATCAGTGTGCTGTATTCAGGAAACCCATCTCATGTGCAGAGACACACATAGTCTCAAAATAAAGGGATGGAAGAAGATCTACCAAGTAAATGTAAAACAAAAAAGGCAGGGGTTGCAGTCCTAGCCTCTGATAAAACAGACTTTAAACCAACAAAGATCAAAAGAGACAAAGAAGGCAATTACATAATGGTAAAGGGATCAATTCAACAAGAAGAGCTAACTATCCTAAATATATATGCACCCAATACAGGAGCACCCAGATTCATAAAGCAAGTCCTGAGTGACCTACAAAGAGACTTAGACTCCCATACAATAATAATGGGAGATTTTAACACCCCACTGTCAACATTAGACAGATCAACGAGACAGAAAGTTAACAAGGATATCCAGGAATTGAACCCAGCTTTGCACTGAGCAGATCTAATAGACATATACAGAACTCTCCATCCCAAATCAACAGAATGTACATTCTTCTCAGCACCACATCACACTTATTCCAAAATTGACCATATAGTTGGAAGAAAAGCGCTCCTCAGCACATGTGAAAGAAGAGAAATTATAACAAACTGTCTCTCAGACCACAGTGCAATCAAACTAGAACTCAGGATTAAGAAACTCACTCATAACTGCTCAACTACATGGAAACCGAACAACCTGCTCCTGAATGACTACTGGGTACATAATGAAATGAAGGCAGAAATAAAGATGTTCTTTGAAACCAATGAGAACAAAGACACAACATACCAGAATCTCTGGGACACATTAAAAGTAGGGTGTAGAGGGAAATTTATAGCACTAAATGCCCACAAGAGAAAGAAGGAAAGATCTAAAATTGACACACTAACATCACAATTAAAAGAACTAGAGAAGCAAGAGCAAACACATTCAAAGGCTAGCAGAAGGCAAGAAACAAGATCAGAGCAGAACTGAAGGAGATAGAGACACAAAAAACCCTTCAAAACATCAATGAATCCAGGAGATGGTTTTTTGAAAAGATCAACAAAATTGATAGACTGCTAGCAAGACTAATAAAGAAGAAAAGAGAGAAGAATCAAATAAATGGAATAAAAAATGATAAAGGGGATATCACCACAGATTCCACAGAAATACAAACTACCATCAGAGAATACTATAAACACCTCTACGCCAATAAACTAGAAAATCTAGAAGAAATGGATAAATTCCTGAACACATACACCCTCCCAAGACTAAACCAGGAAGAAGTTGAATCTCTGGATAGACCAATAACAGGCTCTGAAATTGAAGCAATAATTAAGAGCCTACCAACAAAAAAAGTCCAGGACAGGACGGACTCACAGCTGAATTCTACCAGAGGTACAAGGAGGAGCTGGTACCATTACTTCTGAAACTATTCCAATCAATAGAAAAAGAGGGAATCCTCCCTAACTCATTTTATGAGGCCAGCATCATCCTGATACCAAAGTCTGGCAGAGACACAACAAAAAAAAAAGAGAATTTTAGACCAATATCCCTGATGAACTTTGATGCAAAAATCCTCAATAAAATACTGGCAAACCAAATCCAGCAGCACGTCAAAAAGCTTATCCACGATGATAAAGTGGGCTTCATCCCTGGGGTGCAAGGCTGGTTCAACATATGCAAATCAATAAACGTAATCCAGCATGTAAACAGAACCAAAGACAAAGACCACATGATTATCTCAATAGATGCAGAAAAGGCCTTTGACAAAATTCAAGAGCCCTTCATGTTAAAAACTCTAATAAATTAGGTACTGATGGGACGTATATCAAAATAATAAGAGCTATTCATGACAAACCCATGGCCAATATCATACTGAATGGGCAAAAACTGGAAGCATTCCCTTTGAAAACTGGCACAAGACAGGGATGCCCTCTCTCACCACTCATGTTCAACATAGTGTTGGAAGTTCTGGCCAGGGCAGTCAGGCAGGAGAAAGAAAAAAAGGGTATTCAGTCAGGAAAAGAGGAAGTCAAATTGTCCCTGTTTGCAGATGACATGATTGTATATTTAGAAAACCCCATCGTGTCAGCCCCAAATCGCCTTAAACTGATAAGCAACTTCAGCAAAGTCTCAGGATACAAAATCAATGTGCAAAAATCACAAGCATTCTTATACACCAATAACAGACAAACAGAGAGCCAAAAATTGCTTCGAAGAGAATAAAATACCTAGGAATCCAACTTACAAGGGATGTGAAGGACCTCTTCAAGGAGAGCTACAAGTCACTGCTCAATGAAACAAAAGAGGACACAAACAAGTGGAAGAACATTTCGTGTTCATGGATAGGAAGAATCAATATTGTGAAAATGGCCATACTGCCCAAGGTAATTTACAGGTTCAATGCCATGCCCATCAAGCTACCAATGACTTTATTCACTGAATTGGAAAAAACTACTTTAAAGTTCATATGGAACCAAAAAAGAGCCTGCATTGCCAAGACAATCCTAAGCCAAAAGAACAAAGCTGGAGGCATCATGCTACCTGACTTCAAACTATACTACAAGGCTACAGTAACCAAAACAGCATGGTACTGGTACCAAAACAGAGATGTAGACCAATGGAACAGAACAGAGCCCTCAGAAATAATACCACACATCTATAACCATCTGATCTTTGACACACCTGACAAAAACAAAAAATGGGGAAAGCATTCCTTATTCAATAAATGGTGCTGGGAAAACTGGCTAGCCATATGTAGAAAGCTGAAAATGGATCCCTTCCTTACACCTTATACAAAAATTATTCAAGATGGATTAAAGACTTAAACGTTAGACCTAAAACCATAAAAACCCTAGAAGAAAACTTAGACAATTCCATTCAGGAGACAGGCATGCAAACGACTTCATGTCTAAAACACTAAAAGCAATGGCAACAAAAGCCAAAATTGCCAAATGGGATCTAATTAAACTAAAGAGGTTTTGCACAGCAAAAGAAACTACCATCAGAGTGAAGAGGCAACCTACAGAATGGGAGAAAAATTTTACAATCTACCCATCTGACAGAGGGTTAATATCCAGAATCTACAAAGAACTTAAACAAATTTACAAGAAAAAACAAACAACCCCATCGAAACGTGGGCAAAGGATATGAACAGACACTTCTCAAAAGAAGACATTTATTCAGCCAACAGACACATGAAAAAATGCTCATCATCACTGGCCATCAGAGAAATGCAAATCAAAAGCATAATGAGATACCATCTCACACCAGTTAGAATAGCGATCATTAAAAAGTCAGGAAACAACAGATGCTGGAGAGGATGTGGAGAAATAGGAACACTTTTACACTGTTGGTGGGACTGTAAACTAGTTCAACCATTGTGGAAGTCAGTGTGGCGATTCCTCAGCGATCTAGAACTAGAAATACCATTTGACCCAGCCATCCCATTACTGGGTATATGACCAAAGGATTATAAATCATGCTGTTATAAAGACACATGCACACATATGTTTATTGTGGCACTATTCACAATAGCAAAGACTTGGAACCAACCCAAATGTCCAACAATGATAGACTGGATTAAGAAAATGTGGCACATATACACCATGGAATACTATGCAGCCATAAAAAATGATGAGTTCATGTCCTTTGTAGGGACATGGATGAAGCTGGAAACCATCATTCTCAGCAAACTACCACAAGGACAAAAAACCAAACACTGCATGTTCTCACTCATAGGTGGGAATTGAACAATGAGAACACTTGGACACAGGAAGGGGAACATCACACACCGGGGCCTGTCATGGGGTGGGGGGAGAGGGGAGGGATAGCATTAGGAGATATGCCTAATGTAAATGACGAGTTAATGGGTGCAGCACACCAACATGGCACATGTATACATATGTAACAAACCTGCACATTGTGCACATGTACCCTAGAACTTAAAGTATAATAATAAAAAAAACAGTTTGGGGGCCACTGTTGTAGTACAAAAGAAGCCATGGACAATATGTAAATGAATGAACATGACTGTGTTATAATAAAACTTTATTTACAAAGAAAAAAATCAATAAATAATGCTGCCTGAAAAAAAATTAAATTACATATTTAAGAATTAGCTGAAGTGAAAAATCTTTAGAGTAAAAACTGTAAAACTTTGCTGAAAGAAATTAAAGAGGACACCTAAAAATGAAAAGGTATTTCATGTTCATGTATTAGAAAAATCAACATTGTTAAAATGTTCATACTACAAAAAGCAATCGACAGATTCAATATAATGCCTCTCAAAATACTATTATTCTTCACAGAAACAGAAAAAAATTCTAAAATTTATATAGAACCACAAAAGACCCAGAATAGCCATAGCTATTTTGAGCAATAACAACAGAACTGAGGAATCACATTGCTTGATTTCAAATTATACAACATAGCTATAATAACCAAATCAGCAGTGTACTGGCATAAGAACAGACACATAGAGCAATGTAACGGAATAGAGAACCCCAAAACAAACTTATACATCCACAGTGAACTTATTTTCAATAAACATGCCAACATCATACATCGAGAAAACAACAGTCTATTCAATAAATAGTGCTGGGACAATAAGATATCCATATGCAGAAGAATAAAACTAGACCAATATCTCTTTCCTTATAAGGAGATCAAATCAAACTGGATTAAAGACTTAAATCTAAGACCTCAAACTATGAAACTACTAAAACACAACTTTAGAAAACTCTCCAGGACATTAGACTGGGCCAGAATTTCTTGACTAGTACCCCCACAAGCACAGACATCCAAAACAAAAATGGACAAAGGGGATCACATTAAGTTAAGAAGCTTCTCCACAACAAAGGAAACAGTTAAAAAAAAAGGGGGGGGGGAGACACAACTCGCAGAATAGGCAAAATTATTTGTAAACTATCCATCTGAGAAGGGATTAATAGCCAGAATATATAAAATGCTCAAACAATTCAATAGGAAAGCATCTTATAGTCCAATTAACAAATGGGCCAAAAATCTGCATAGACAGTTCTCAAAAGAAGATATACAAATGAAAAACAGGTAAATGAAAAGGTGTTAAACATCATTCATCATCAGAATCATGCAAATCAAAACTAAAATGAGATATCATCTCTTTCAGTTAAAATGGCTTTTTTTCTTTTTCTTTTCTTTTTTGAGACAGAGTTACTCTCTTGTTGCCCAGGCTGGAGTGCAAGGGCCAGATCTTGGCTCACTGCAACCTCCGCCTCCCAGGTTCAAGCCATTCTCCTGCCTCAGACTCCCAGGTAGCTGGGATTAAAGGCATGCGCCACCATGTGCGGCTAATTTTGTACTTTTAATAGAGACAGCGTTTCTTCATGTTGGTCAGGTGGTCTCGAACTCCCGACCTCAGGTGATCCACCCTCCTCGGCTTCACAAAGTGCTGGGATTACAGGCGTGAGCCACCGCGCCTGGCCTAAAATGGCTTTTATCCAAAATACTGGCAATAACAAATGCTTGTGAGGATGTGGATAAAAGAGAAAACTGTATACTGTTGGTGGGAATGTACAATAATACAACCATTATGAAGAACAGCTTGGAAATTCCTCAAAAAACTAAAAATAGACGTCCTACATGATGCAGCAATCCCACTGCTAAATATATTCCCCCAAAAAGGGAAGTCAATATATCAGAGGTATATCTGCACCCCTACGTTTTTTACAACACTATTTACAATAGCCAACATTTGAAAGCAACCTAAGTGTTTATCAACAGATGAATGAATAAAGAAAATGTGGTACATATACACAACGGAGTGGTAGTCAGCCATAACAAATAATTAGATTCTGACATTTACAACAGCATAAATGGAACTGAAGGTCATTTTGTTTAGTGAAATAAGTCAGGCACAGAAGGATAAACTTTTCATGTTCTCACTTATTTGTTAGAGCTAAAAATTAAAACAATTGAACTCATGGACATAGAGAGTAGAAAGATGGTTACCAGAGGCTGGGAGGTGTGGTAGAAGTGTAGATAGTTACTGGAGCAAAATACATATAGTGAATTAGTTAGTTAGTTAGTTAGTTAGAAAGAATGAATGAGCTCCTACATTTTATGGCACAACAGGGTGACTATAGTCAATAATAATTTAACTGTACATTTTTAAATAACTAAAAGAGCATAATTGGACTATTTGTAACACAAAGAATAAATGTTTTTGGCTGTGGATTATCTACGCCAATATGATTATTATGTGTTGTATGTATTCAAATATCTCATGTACCCAATAAACACATACACCTACTATGTACTCCCCAAAATTAAAAACATTAAGAAAATAATAGTAGCATTTATTTTTGAATACGTATAACTGTATTTTCTTCTTTTTTTGCATTTGTAAATTTTATATAAGTTATAAAAAGGGATACAACTATTTTTAATTTGGAAAACAAAAACTAGTAAGTAAACATATACTGGACATTGGTGACTCATTTTGTTTTAAATAATACATGTTTGCCTTAGTGAATTAAAGAGCAAATACATTTTATATTTACCAAAAACATATTGTGCCATATTCATTTGGTTTAGTCAAGCTTGAAATCAATCACAAACTGTTCGTTCTGTTGCTTTGGTCTGATCTTCACTAGTTGGTACTATCTTTGGGTATAAATACTATTTTAGTACTATCTTTGGGCATAGCATATCCTTGGGTGTAATATTATCTTTGGGTATAGTATTAGTTGGTACTATCCTTGCAGTATAAATATATATCAAAATCCATAAAACCAAATATAATCTTCCCAAAATAAATGGAATGTTGCGTTCCCATTATTCTTCAAGACTAATATATAGTCTTTAGTACTTAGCATATTAGTTATGCATTATAAAGACTCAGAAGACAAAATATTTCATAAACATAATGTATCCTCAAAATTTTAAATGGAAACAATAACAAGAAAAAATACTGGCATTCTAGATGCAGAAGTGCACATAAAAACATTCCTTCCCTCTTTCTGAGACATCACAGAGAATTTTCATTGTGAAGAAATTGGAGACACCATTCAATGGCATACACACAGATAGAAAAAATCTTACTGAAAACAAAAAGAGACATGATTTGTTTTAGAAAGGAACATGTCTCCACAGTAATTTTTTCATGAAGTGAAAGAAAACGTTTAAGTCACAGGTTAACTCTATGATTCATATATCCATATTATTGTGGACTTCTGTAGAGGGCTAGCTCTTCTAGTATTTCATCATTTACTATTGTGTGCTCCCTCTGCTGGATTGCTGACCATACAACAAGAGAACATTGTACATGGGTAAAGAATTTCACTCTTCTAGGTCATTTTCTATGTTTAGTGGCATATTAAAATACCAAATTTTAAAATCTGAATGAATATAAGTAAATGTCACAATTTTTTGGAAGTCATTTTTTGGCTTGGCGTGTCTACTATTAACTCAAGTATCATGACATGTGTGTTTAGTACTCCAGGGTGCCTTTTAAACTGAACATTTGTAAGTTTGGTATCTTTATTACAGATCTACATACCATCATCTTTCCTTGAGGTTGATATCTTGCTTTCATTTTTACCTATAATTCAAATATGTTTTGAAATTTACTTCACACTTGGACATTTGTTTTCACACTCTTCTATTTCTAAGCAACTATAGCCCTGGTTTTCCTGGACAGTTACAGGTTATAATTATTGTTTTTGTAATAGTATTAATAGAAGTAATAACACTTTTTTTCTGAAAAAATTCGTATTTGGATGAGAAATGATGACCTTGAAAGTCTTACTAATACACAGCCTGTGACAACTACATACCTGACTAAAAGCTTCATATATTTGCTTCTTAGAAAAAATATAAAGTAGTGAATTTTACCTAAACTGCTTAGAGTCATGTCTCTTCTCTTAGAAGAAAATTAATCAGTGAACAGAATGGTAGACAAGCTAAGGGATTTGGTGATTATGATAATAGGCAGAAGCAATTTTCCACTGTTAAGAACTGCCACTATAATAGGGCAACCGATTGTGGCAAAAAGATGTGCACCTTGCCTGCTCACAAATTCTCAGATCTCTCAAGGAATGACACTCTGCTTTAACCAAGAGCTATTCCTAGGCTTCCATTCTTTGATGCTGTTCTTTGTCCCTTGTGTAAGTTGAAAAGACTGCTTTGTTAATGATTATTGTTTCTTTATTATGATGACTATGGAAATGAGGGATACTAATGAATAAATAAAAAACTTACCCATAAATAAAAAAAATGACTGCATTAAAAACAAAGTGCACCTTCCACCTGTGAATTCTATCTTTCTGATGAAATAAATCAATTAATAGAAGAAACATAACTGAAGATGGACAAAGATGATACCTGTTAAAAATTATTTGAGCTCTAGTGCTTGTAACTTAAACAATTTGCATTCAGTTTGCTCTGGGTGTCCAAGTTCTATCAGCAAACAAAAATGATTAATTATTTAACTAATTCAGATATGTGTAATAATGTTATATATTAGTAAATAGAAAACTTGAATCCCCAAAAGACTGCATCTAGACTACTAAGAAACCATCTAGAATTTTATCTAAAGTGATATAAAACTTCAGGCTCTATTTTAAAGCAAATTAAAATGTACAAATGAAATGAGAAAGTGAGAAACGATTTGCCAATATCTAACTTGGATGTAGAAAGTGGAAATAGATTCCATGGCCTTCATTAACAATTTAAGACTAAGTAAAATTCAAGAACTTCATTTTATGGATGTCTACATGGAGGAATCATTAGTAGTTAGAATATTATGACATGCATTAGCTGTTCATTTACTCTGTACCTGAAATGTATTCTTTTTTATATGAATGTTTGACTCCCAAAGCATACATATATGGTTCTTACAATATTTGCTAAGCCAGCTTCCCCCAAAGACTTTGTCATAATCCAGACTTAAAAACAAAGATCATTTTTACATCTGAAGGCTTGAGAGAGGCAATAGAAAGAACAAAGAAGCCATGAAGCTCTCTGAAAATGGAGCTTTTTGGTGGAACAAGGAAAATTATGAGCCTGCAGGAGTAAAATGAGTAATTAAGTCAACAGCATGCCTTTATCTTATGGCTGATGGAGTGAAACTACAACTTAGCTCTGGGCAAAAAATAACTGAATTTAGTGTTCTCATGTTGTTACTGAAAGCAAAATGAGAAGGACTAAATTAACAATTTATTAAGAGAGAAGTCAATTGGTTTGAGAAGCCAGTTATTCCCAGTCCTGTAAAATTAAAGGACAAAGTCAACAATAAGAAAAAATATATTTCGGACATGGCTGGGGAGGGAGGGCAAGATGGCTTACTACACGCAGCCAGGTGGAACAGTTGCCACCGAGGGACCGAGATGATGACTGGCACATTCCTAACAGATCTTCAGAGGGAAAGCACTAGAGTACATGGAGGCAAGACAAAGAAGCTAGGCTGAAGGGGGAGAACGCTGGGAACTCTCCAGGGCGTGATCGCACACCAGGACTCATTCCTGGCCCCCAATGACTTGGGGGAATGGATGAGTTTTACTGGCAAAAAGCAACCTGCTCTCTCCATGGGCCTCTGGAATCCCAGCAGAAGGAAACCCCTCGGCCACCTGACACTAGAGTTGGCAGGGAGAGGTGCTTAGAGAAGTGGTAGGGGCAGCAAACAGCTGATGTGGAGCCTAGAGAGTCCGGTGCGGGAGCATCTGTGACTGAACATGGACACGGTCAGCTATCCTCCTAGGCTCCACTTGCTCGCATAGAAGACTTTAGCCCCAGGGGAATTGTTGGGGCTGAATTCTGCAGGGTGGTCTCGCCCATCAGATGGAGCTGGTCCAATCTCAGCACCCCTTGGTCTGTTGGCTTCTCCCGGGGCCCCAGCCTGGCTGGCCGGCTTGCAGGACAGCCTCAAGTGCCCTGGGAACTCAAGTAATGCCTCCTGTGCTGGCGGACCATGACTTACCAGCAGAGAGCTCAAGTGCGGTGGCCAGCCTACCTGCTCGTTACCCACACTGCAACTTTCACCAGGCCCCAGTAACGCCCATATTGCTTTGCTGGCACGTGTGTGCCTTTCTTGCCCTGCCAGTGCACGTGTGTGCATGCACCCTGCCCTGCCACTGCTGCAGCGAGAGCGCAGTTCACCCCTTCCTCTCCTTGCCAACCACCATTGCAGGCAGAGCCTTGACGGGCACAGCACCAGCCAGCCCCATACCCGCCAGTGCCTCACCCTTGCATCAACAGTGCCGCAAAAGTGAAACTAGGTACGAAGAAGAGCAGACCCTCCCCTGCCCTCAGCAACCACCTCTGACTGCAACACACAGAGAGTGCACACAAACCTGGGCCCACCAGTGCCCCGCCCCATGCAAACACCACTACCAGTGTGACTGCACACACAGTCACCAGCAGAGGCCCCGTGAAACCGCCCCCAGCTACATTTTCCCCAACCTTGTGGTGAACTCCCACACTGAGACAAGCAGCCCAGCAGGCGCTACCACCCTTCCACAGCCAATGAACATGCAACCAGCTGCACTGCCACTGCTGGGGGCTGCTGGCATGTGCAAATGAGGACAAATCCTGCTGTCACAGCACTATGAAATGCTTTGGTTGACACCACGTTAAAGGGTAGTGCCCAGTGGTCTGGGAGCACCTCTGTCCCCACCCCATTCCCACCCCCAACACAGTGGATTCCTAACCTGGAGGAGCCAGATCAAAAAGTCAGGGCCTCATAAAAGTCCCTCATAGTTAGAATAGGGAGTCCAGGAGTTGGGAGCTGAGTGCTGGCCCCCTAAAGTCTTCCATCAACAAAGCCATTTGGCTGAATCCACCTTTTACCATGATCAAATCCTCAAGGTCATCAAATAAAATAAAAGAAATAAATCCATCCAAAGGTCAGAAACATCAAGCACTGAAGAAACATAAGCCCACAAATATGAGAAAAAACTAATGCAAGAACTCTGAAAATGTAAAAAGCCAGAGTGCTTTCTTTCCTCCAAGCAACAGCACCACCTCCCCACCAAGTGTTCTGAACCAGGCTGAGAGGGCTAAAATGACAGGAATAGAATTCAGAATATGGGTAGCAATGAAGATCATTGAGATACAGGAGTATGTTTAAAGCTAATCCAAGGAAGCTGAAAATCATAAAACGATGCAGGAGTTGACAGGCAAAATATCCAATGTAAAAAATTACATAACTTACCTGAAAAACCTAAAAAACACACTGTAAGAATTTCATAATGCAAACATAAGTATTAATAGCAGAACAGGCAAAGCAGAAGAAGCAGAGCCAGTCTTCAGGCTCTGAGATAAGACACTGAGACAATAATGGAGAAAAAATAATTTAAAGGAACAAACAAAAACTCTGAAAAATATGAGATTATGTAAAGAGATCAAGTCTATGATGCATTTGTTTCCCTGAAAGAGATGGGGAAAGTGTAAGCAACTTGGAATACATATTTCAGGATATCATCCATGAGAACTTATACAACCTAGCTAGAGAGGCCAACATTCATATTCAGGAAATACAGAGAATTCCAGTAAGACACTTCACAAAAAGATTGTTCCCAAGACACACAATCATCAGATTCTCTAAGGTCAAAATGAAAGAAAAATGTTAGAGGCAGCTAAAGAGAAATTCAGGTCACCTACAAAGGAAAGCTCATCAGACTAACAGTGGACCTCTCAGCAGAAACTTTATAAGCCGGAAGAGATTGGCGGCCAATATTCAACATTATTAAAAAAAAAAAAAAGAAATTCAAGCCCAGGATTTCATATTCAACCAAACTAAGCTTCATAAGCAGAGGAGAAATAATATCATTTTTGCACAAGCAAATGCAGTGGGAATTTGTTACCAACAGAACTGCCTTACAGAAACTCATGAAGGAAGCATTAAATATGGAAAAAGACCATTACCAGCCACTATAAAAAGACACTTAAGTGCACAGACCAATGACACTGAAAAATAACCACACAAACTAGTCTGCATAATAATTAACAACCATCATGGTGACAGGATCAAATTCACACATACCAATGCTAACCTTAAATGTAAATAGGTTAACCGCCCCAGTTAAAAGGCACAGAGTAGCAAGGTAGATAAAACAGCAAGACCCAATTTAATTCTTTCTTCAAAAGACTCGTCTCACATGCAATGACACTCATAGTCTGAAAATAAAGGGATGGAAGAAAATCTACCAAGCAAGTGGAAATTAGAAAAAAGCAGGGGTTACAGCCCTAATTTCAGACAAAACAGACTTTCAACTAAAAAGATAAAAAATGACAAAGAAGGGCATTCCATAATGGTTGATATGGTTTGGATCTGTATCCCCACCTAAATCTCATGTGGAATTGTCATCCCTAATGTTGAAAAAGGGGCCCGGCAGGAGGTTATTGGATCATGGGGGTGGAGATCTCACAAATGGTTTAGCACCGTCCCCATTTGGTACTGTATAGTGAGTAAATTGTCACAAGATATGATTGTTTAAAAGTTTATAGCACCTCCCATTTCTCTCTCCTCCTCCCGCTCTGGCCACGTGAAGATGCCTTCTCCTGTTTTTCATGCTGCCATGAGTAATGTCTCCCTGAGGACTCCCCAAAAGCAGATGCTGCCATACTTCCTGTACGGCCTGTGGAACTGTGAGACACTTAAACCTCTTTTTCTAATAAATTACCCAGTCTCAGGTATTTCTTTATAGCAGTGTGAGAATGAACTAATACAGAAAATTGGTACTGAGGAGTGGAGTATTGCTATAAAGATACCTCAAAATGTGGAAGCAGCTTTGAAATTAGGTAATCAGTTGATACAGTCTGGATTTGTGTCCCTGCCCAAATCTCATGTCAAATTGTAATTCCCAGTGTTGGAAGAGGGGCCTGGTGGGAGGTGATTGGATCATGGGGGTGCATTTCTCCCTTGCTGTTCTTGTAATAGTGAGTGAGTTCTCACAAGATCTGGTTGCTTAAAAGTGTGTAGCACCTGCCCCTTCTCTCTCTCCTTCTCCAACCATGTGAAGACATACCTGCTTCTCTTTTGCCTTCTGCCATGATTAAAAATTTCCTAAGGCCTTCCCAGACATGATACCTGTACAGCCCATGGAAATGTGAGATAAGAAAACCCCTTTTCTTTATAAATTACACAGTCTCAGTTATTTTTTTATAGCAATGTGAGAATGGATCAATACACTGGCTAAAGTTGGAAGAGTGTGGAGGGCTCAGAAGAAGAGAGGAAGATGAGGGAAAATTCAGAACATCCTAGAGACTGGTTGAATGGTTGTGACCAAAATGCTGATGGTGATATGGACAATTAAGTCTAGGTTGAGGAGGTCTTAGGTGGAGATGAGGAACTTATTGGGAACTAAAGCAAAGGTCACATTCATTATGAGTTAACAAAGAGATTGGCTGCATTGTACCCCAGCCCTAGGGAGCTGTGGAACTTTGAACTTGAGAATGATGATTTAGGGTATCTGGTATAAAAACATTTCTAAGCGGCAAAGCATTTAAGATGTGACCTGGCTTCTTCTAATCACCTATGCTCATATGCATGAGCAAAGAAATGATGTAAAACTGAAAGTTATATTTAAAAGGGAATCAGAGTGTAAAAGTTTTAAAAATTTGCAGCCGGGTCATGTGGTAAAAATGAAAAGCCTATTTCTGTGGGGAGGAATTCAAGCAGGCTGCAGAAATTTGCACAAGTGAAAAGGAGTCAACTGTTACTATTCAAGACAATGGGGGGAAGGCTTGAAAGACATTTCAAAGACCTTTGTGGCATCCCTTTTCATCACAGGCCTGGAGGCCTAGGAGGGAAGAATGGTTTCATGAGTCAGGCTGAGGGACCCACTGCCCTGCACAACTTCAGGACACTGGTCCCTGCATCCCAGCTGCTCCAGCTCCAGCTATTCCTAAAAGGGTCCCAGATACAATTTGAGTCACTGCTTCAGAGAGTGCAAACCATAAGCCTTGGCAGCTTCCATGTGGTGTTAAGCCTGCAAGTACACAAAATGCAAGAATTAAGGCTGGGGAGCCTCTGCCTAGATTTCAGAGGATGTATGAAAAGGCCTGGATCTCCATGCAGAAGCCTGCTGCAGGAGCAGAGCCCTCATGGAGAACCTCTTCTGAGGAAGTGAGGAAGAAAAAAATGAGGTTGGAGCCCCCAAACAAAGTCCCCACTGGGGCATTGACTAGTGGATCTGTGAGAAGAGGGCCATCATCCTCCAGACCCCAGAATGGTAGATTGACTAGCCATTTGCAATTTCCTTTTAGAAAAGCTGAAGACACTCAATGCCAGCTCATGAGAGCAGCCAAAGGGGCAAAACCCTGAAAAGCCACAGGGGCAAAGCAGACCAAAGATTGGGAATCCACCCATTGCATCAGTGTGACCTGGATGTGAGATATGGAGTCAAATGAGATTATTTTGTAGCTTTAAGATTTAAAGCTTAAATCTTGACTGCCTTGCTGGATTTCAGACTTACACTGGGCCTGTAGGCCCTTTGTTTTGGCTGATTTCTCCCTTTTAGAATGGGGAAATTTACCCAATGCCCATACCTTCGCTGGATCCTGAACATAACTAACTTGTTTTGATTTTGCAGACTCATAGTCCAAAGCAACACTGCTTGTCTCAGATAAGAGTTTGAACTATGGACTTTTGAGTTAATGCTGGAATGGGTTAAGACTCTGGGTAACTTTTGGGAAGGCATGATTGTATTTTGAAATGTGAGAAAGAGGAGATTTGGGAGAGGCCAGGAGCAGAATGAAGAAAATCTAACAAGCAAATGGAAATCAGAAAAAAAGCAGAGATTGCTATCATAATTTCAGACAAAACAGACTTTAAACCAACAAGGATCAAAAACAACAAAGGAGGGAATTACATAATTCTTGCTATGGTTTGTGTTTGTGTCCCTTCCCAAGTCTCATGTGGAATTGTAATCTCCAGTGTTGGAGGAGAGGCCTGGCAGGAGGTGATTGGATCATGGGAGTAGAGTTCTCCTAAATGGTTTAGCAACATCACCCCTTGGTACCCTATAGTGAGTGAGTTCTCACAAGATCTGATTGTTTTAAAGTGTATAGCACATCCCACCTTCTCGGCCTTTCTGTTGCTCTGGCCATGTTAAAATGCCTGCTCCTGCTTTGCCTTCTGCCATAAGTAAAATATTCCAGAGGCCTTCCCAGAAGCTGATGCTGCCATGTTTCCTGTACAGTCTGTGGAAGCATAAGCCAATTAAACCTTTTTTTAAATAAATTACCCAGTCTCAAATATTTCTTTATAACAATAAGAGAATGAACTAATACAATGGTAAAGGGTCCAAGTCAACAAGAAGGCTAAACTATTCTAAATATATATGCACTCAACACAGGAGCACCCAGATTCATAAAGCAAGTTCTTAGAGACCTTCAAAGAGACTTAGACTTCTGAACAATAATAATGGAAGACTTCAATGTCACACTGACAGTATTAGACAGATTATAAAGACAGTAAATTAAAGATATTCAGGACCTTAACTCATCACTGGATCAAATGGATCTGATAGACATCTGCAGAACTCTCCACCTCAAAACAGCAGCATATACATTCTTCTCATTGCCACATGCCACAACTCTAAAATCGATCACATAATTGGACATAAAACACTCATCAGTAAATGCGAAAGAACTGACATAACAACAACTCTCTCAGACCACAGCACGATCAAATTAGAAATCAAGCAAAAGAGATTTGCTCAAAACAATACAATTACATGTAAATTGAATAAACTGCTCCTGAATGACTTCTGGTTAAATAATAAAATTAAGGTAGAAGTGAGGAAGTTATTTGAAAGTAATAAAAGACAAAACATACCAGAATCTCTGGGAAATAGGTAAGGCAATGTTAAGAGAGAAAAATATAACACTAAATTCCCACAGAAAAATGTTAAAGAGATCTCAATTTAACAACCTAACCTCATAACTAAAAGAACTACAGAACCAAGAGAAACTCAGTGCCAAGGCCAGAAGACAAGAAATAACCAAAATCTGTACTGAACTGAAAGAGACTGAGATATAAAAAAAAATTTAATAGATCAATGAATCCAGGAGTTGGTATTTATAAAATAATTAATAAAATAGACTGCTAGCTAAACTAATAAAGAATAAGAGATAGAAGATCCGAATAAACATAATTAGAAATGACAAAGGGAATATTACCACTGAACCCACAGAAGTACAAATAATCATCAGAGAAAATTATGAACACCTATATGAACACAAACTAGAAAATCTTGAAGACATGAATAAATTCCTATTCACATACACTTTTCTGAGACTAAGTCAGGAAGAAATTAAATCCTTGAACATGCCAATAATGAGCTTCAAAATTGAATCAGTAATAAATAAACTAGCAACCAAAAAAACTCCAAGACCAGATGAATTTTTAGCTGCATTCTACCACATGTACAAAGAAGGGATGGTAACATTCCTACCAAAACTGTTTCAAAAATATTAAGAAGGAGGAACTCTTCCCTAACTTACTCTATGAGGCCAGCATCATTCTCATAGTAAACCAGACAGAGACTGATTCCACCACCGTGTCCCAAAGGAAAAAAAAAAAAAAACTCTTTAGTCTAATATCCTTGTTTAACATGATGCAAAAATTCTCAACAAAATACTGGCAAATCAAATTCAGCAACACATAAAAAAGCTAATCCACCACAATCAAGTGGGCTTTTTTCAGAGATGCAAGGTTGGTTAAACATACACAAATCAATAAATGGGATTCATCACATAAACAGAACTAAAAACAAAAACCACATGATTATCTCAATTGAAGCAGACAAGACTTGATGAAATTCAACACCCCTTCATGTTAAAAACTCTCAATGAACTAGGTATTGATGGAATGCACTTCAAAATAATAAAAGCCATCTATGACAAACCCACAGCTAACATTATGGGCAAAAGCTGAAGGCAGTCGTCTGGAAAGCCAGCACAAGACAAGGATGTCCTCTCTCACCATTCCTATTCAACGTAGTATTGGAAGTCCTGGCCAGAACAATAAGGAAAAAAAAAAAAAAGAAAGAGTATCCAAATAGTAAGAGAGGAAGTCAAACTATCTCATTTGGCAGATCTCATGATCCCATATCTAGGAAAAAATCTCATTGCTTTGGCTCAAAAACTTCTTAAGCTGATAAACAACTCCAGCAAATCTCAAAATATTTAATGAACATACAATAATCAGTAGGATTCCTATACAACCATAACAGTCAAACTGAGAATCAAACCAAAAATGCAATGCCATTCACAATTGCATCAAAAAACTAAAATATCTATAAATACACCTAACTAGGAAGGTAAAAGATCTCTACAAGGAGAACTATAAAACATTACTCAAAAATAACAGAGATGACATAAACAAATAAAAAAATCCATACTCATGGATAATAAGAATCAATATCACTAAAATGGCCATATGGCCCAAAGTAATTTACAGATGCAATGGTATTCCTATTAAGCTGCCATTGATGTTTTTCACAGACCTAGAAAAAAATATTTACAAATTCATACAGAACCTAAAAACAGCTTGAATTGCCAGGGGAATCTTAACCAGAAAGAACAAAGTTTGAGGCATCATGTTACCACTTTTCAAACTATACAACACATCTACAGTAATCAAAACAGCATAGTACTGCTACAAAAACGGACAGATAGACCAATGGAACAGGAAAGAGAGCCCAGAAGTAAAGCCACACACTTACAACTAACTGGTCTTTGGCAAAAGTGACAAAAACAAGCAATGGGAAAAGGATGCTGGGATAACTGGCTAGCCACATACAGAAGATTAAAACTGGACCTCTTTCTTACACCATATACAATAGTCAAATAAATATAAATTAAAGACTTAAATGTAAAACCCAATACCATAAAAAGCCTGGAAAACAACTTAGGCAATACCATTCTGGACATAGGAATGAGCAAAGATTTTAGGATGAAGACGCCAAAACCAACTACAACAAAAGCAAAAATTGGCAAATGATATCTAATTAAAATAAAGAGCTTCTGAACAGAATGAGAAATGATCTACAGAGTAAACAGACAACCCTTAACAATAAATGTCCTCAACACAGAGTATAGAAGTAACATACCTCAACATATTGAAAGCCATATAGATCAGAATCACAGCTAGTATTATACTCAATGGGGAAAAACAGAAAGCCAGGATGCCCTGGTTGTGTATGGAACACAAACAGGATGCCCACTTTGACCACAGTTATTCAACATAGTACTGGAAGTTCCAGCTCAAACAGTCAGATAAGATAAAGAAAAAAAGTGCATCCAAATTGGAAAGAAAGAAATCAAATAATTTTTCCAAATATCAAATTACCCTTGTTTGCAGAAAAACTGGAACACTTTACAAAATAACTATTAGAAATGTTAAACAAATTCAGTAAAGTTGCAGGATACAAAATCAACATGCAAAAATCGATAGCATTTTTATATGCCAAAAGCAAAAAGTCTGAAATATAAATATAAACAAATTCCATTTATAGTAGCCACAAATAAAATTAAATACCTAAGGATTAACTTTGCCAAAGAAGTGAAAGATCTCTACAATACAAACTATAAAACTTTGATGAAAGTAACTGAAGAGGACACCAAAATTTGGAAAGATATTCCAAGTTCATGGATTGAAAGAATCTATATTGTTAAAATGTTTACACTACACAAATCAATCTACAAATTCAATGCAATACCTTTCAAAATATCAATGACATTCTCCACAGATATAGACAAAACAATCTTAAAATGTATATAGAACCACAAAAGACCAAGAATAGCCAAAGCAATCCTGAAGAAAAAGAACAAAACTGGAGGGATCACATTACCTGATTTCATATTATACTACAGAGTTCTAGTAATCAAAACGGCAGGGTAATGGCATGGAAACAAACATGTAGAAGAGTGGAACAAAATAGGAACCCCCCAAAATTCATATATTTACAGTGATTTCATTTTCAACAAATATGCCAAGAACATACATTTGGGAAAGGATATTTCCTTCAATAAATGGTGCTGGGACAACTGGATATCCATATGCAGATGAATGAAACTAGATGCTTATTTCTCATCATATACAAAAATCAGATCAAAATGAATTGAAATTTTAAATATAAGTCCTCAAGCTATGAAACTACTAAAATAAAACTTTGGGGAAACTCTCCAGGGCACTGGACTGGGCAAAATATTTCTTGAGCAATACCCCATAAGCACAAGCAACCAAAAAAAAATGGACAAATGGGATCAAGTTAAAAAGCTTCTGCTAAGGAAAAAAAAAAAAGCCAACAAAGTGAAGAGACAACACACAGAATGGGGAAAAAAATTGGAACCTACCCATCTTATGAGGGAGAGATAACCAGAATGTACAAAGAGCACAAACAAATCTATAGAAAATAAATCTAATAATCTGATCAAAAAGTAAACCAACAAATGATCTGCATAGACATTTCTCAAAAGAAGACATACAAATGGCAAACAGGCATATGAAAATGTGCTCAACATCATTAATCATCAGAGAAATGCAAATCAAACTACAATAAGCTATTATCTCACCACAGTTAAAATGGCTTATATCAAAATGACAGGCAATAACAGATGCAGGGGAGGATGTGAAGAAAATGGAACTTACGTGCACTGTTGGTGGGAAGGTAAATTAGTACAACCACTATGGAGAACAGTTTGGAGGTTTCTTAAAAAACTAAAAACCGAGCTAACATATAATACAGGAATTTCACTGCTAGGTATGTACCTAAAAGAAAGAAAATCAGTACATCGAAGATATATCTGCACTCCTATATTTGTTGCAGCATTGTTTACAATAGGTAACATTTGGAAGCAGCGTAAGTGTTCATCAACAGATGAATGGATAGAGAACATTTGGTACATATACACAATGGAGTACTATTTGGCCATAAAAATAATGAGATCCAGTCATTTGCAATAACATGGATGGAACTGGATATTATTACGCTTAATAAAATAAGCTAGGCACAGAAAGACAAACATCACATGTATTTACATATTTGTGGGATCTAAAAATGCAATCAATTGAACTCGTGAACGTAAAGAGTGGAAGGATAGTTACCAGAGTCTGGGAACGGCAGTGGGGCCTGGAAGGAGGTGGGGATGGTTAATTGGTACAATAAAATTAGAAAGAATGAATAAGACCTACTATTTGATAGCACAATAGGGTAACTATAGTCAATAATAACTGAATTGTATATTTTAAAATAACTTAAAAGGTGTAATTGGATTGTTTGCAACTCAAATGATAAATGCTTGAGGGGATATACACCCCATTCTCCATGATGTGCTTATTTTATATTGCATGAATGTATCAAGACATCTCATGTACTCCATAAATATATACAGCTACTAAATATCAACAAAAATATTAATAAATAAAAATTTAAAAATTTTTTTAAAAACTCAAAAGACAGGTAATAACAAATGCTGGTGAGGATGTGGAGCAAAGAAAAGCCTTGTACAGTGTTGGTGTGAGTGTAGCTTAGTACAAGCACTATGGAGAGTTTGGGGGCTCCCCAAAAAAACTAAAATTAGGGCTACCATTTGATATAACAATGCCACTAAGTATATACCCTCCAAAAGGAAATCAGTATATCAAAGTTATATCTGCACTCCCATGTTTATTGCTACACTATTCACAATAGCCAAGATTTGGAAACAACCTAAGTGTCCATCAGCAGAAAAATAGATAAAGAAATTGCGGTACATATACACAATGGAATACTATTTGGGCATGAAAAAGAACGAGATCCTGATTTTTACAACAACATGATTGCAACTGGAAGTCATCATGTTAAGTGAAGTAAGCCAGGCACAGAAAGACAAACTTCTCATGTTCCCACTTATTTGTTGAAGCTAAAAATTAATACAATTGTACTCATTGAGATAGAGAGTAGGATCATTGTTACTAGAGGCTTCAAATATTATTGGGAGGGTAAGGGGGAAGTGGGGATAGTTAATGGGTATAAAAAGTAGAAAGAATAAAAAGATTAGTATTTGATAGCACAACAGGGTGATTATAGTCAATAATTATTTAATTGTAAATTTAAAGATAATTAAAATTGTGTAAATGGATTGTTTGTAACACAAAAGATAAATACCTGAAGTGATGAAATTTAAAGTAGATTTTCTAATTCTATGAATAAAGTCAATGGCAGCTTGATGGGGATAGCATTGAATCTATAAATTACTTTGGGAAGTATGGCCATTTTCACGATATTGATTCTTCCCATCCACAAGCATGGAATGTTTTTCCATTTGTTTGTGTCCTCTCTTATTTCCTTGACCACTGGTTCATAGTTCTCCTTGATAAGGTCCTTCACGTCCCTTGTAACTTGGATTCCTAGGTATTTTATTCTCTTTGTAGTAATTGTGAATGGGAGTTCACTCATGATTTGGCTCTCTATTATTGGTGTATAGGAATGCTTGTGATTTTTGCACGTTGATTTTGTATCCTGAGACTGCAGAAGTTGTTTATCAGCTTAAGGAGATTTTGGGCTGAGATGATGGGGTTTTCTAAATATACAATCATGTCATCTTTAAACAGGGACAATTTGACTTCCTCTCTTCCTATTTGAATACCCTTTATTGCTTTCTCTTGCCTGATTGCCCTGGCCAGCACTTCCAATACTATGTTGAACAGGAGTGGTGAGAGAGGGCATCCCTGTCTTGTGCCCGTTTTCAAAAGGGATGCTTCCAGTTTTTGCCCATTCAGTATGATATTGGCTGTGGGTTTGTCACAAATAGCTCTTATTATTTTGAGATGCGTTCCATCAATACCTAGTTTATTGAGAGTTTTTAGCATGAAAGTTGTTGAATTTTGTCAAAGGTCTTTTCTGCATCTATTGAGATAATCATGTGGTTTTTGTCATTGGTTTTGTTTATGTGATGGATTACGTTTATTGATTTGCGTATGTTGAACCAGCCTTGCATCCCAGGGATGAAGCCAACTTGATCATGGAGGATAAGTTTTTTAATGTGCTGCTGGATTTGCTTTGCCAGTATTTTATTGAGTATAACAGCATTGATGTTCATCAGGGATATTGGCCAGAAATTTTCTTTTTTTGTTGTGTCTCTGCCAGGTTTTGGTATCAGGATGATACTGATTTAAAGGATGATGTTGGTTTAAAGCCTGTTTTATCATAAAATGAGTTAGGGAGGATTCCCTCTTTTTCTATTGTTTGGAATAGTTTCAGAAGGAAGGTATCAGCTCCTTCTTGTACCTCAGGTAGAATTCGTCTGTGAATCCCTCTGGTCCTGGACTTTTTTTATTGTTGCTGTTTGTAGGCTATTAATTACTGCCTCAATTTCAGAACTTGTTAGTGGTCTATTCAGGGATTTGACTTCTTCCTGGTTTTGACTTGGGAGGGTGTATGTGTCCAGGAATTTATCCATTCCTTCTAGATTTTCTAGTTTATTTGTGTAGAGTTGTTTATGGTATTCTCTGATGGTAGCTTGTATTTCTGTGGGATCTGTGGTGATATCCCCTGTATCATTTTTTATTTCATCTATTTGATTCTTCTCTTTTTTCTTCTTTATTTGTCTGAATAGTGATCTAGCTATTTTGTTGATCTTTTCAAAAAACCATCTCCTGGATTTACTGATTTTTTGAAGGGTTTTTTTGTCTCTATCTCCTTCAGTTCTGCTCTGATCTTAGTTATTTCTTGTCTTCTGCTAGGTTTTGAATTTGTTTGCTCTTGCTTTTAATTTGTGGTTTGTTGTTGTGGGAAGTCAGGGACCCCAAACGGAGGGACTGGCTGAAGCCATGGCAGAAGAACATAGATTGTGAAGATTTCATGGACATTTATTAGTTCCCCAAATTAATACTTTTGTAATTTCTTATGCCTGTCTTTACTGCAATTTCTAAACACAAATTGTAAAGATTTCATGGACACTTATCACTTCCCCAATCAATGCCCTTGTGATTTCCTATGCCTGTCTTTACTTTAATCTCTTAATCCTGTCAGCTGAGAAGGATGTATGTCACCTCAGGACCTTGTAATAATTGCATTAACTGCACAAATTGTACAGCATGTGTGTTTGAACAATATGAAATCTGGGCACCTTGAAAAAAGAACAGGATAACAGCAATGTTTAGGAAACAAGAGAGATAACCTTAAACTCCGAGCACTGGTGAGCCAGGCAGAACAGAGCCATATTTCTCTTCTTTCAAAAGCAAATGGGAGAAATATCACTGAATTCTTTTTCTCAGCAAGGAACATCCCTGAGAAAGAGAATGCGCACCTCGGGGTGAGTCTCTGAACTGGCCCCCCTGGGCGTGGCTGTCTCTTATGGTCCAGACTGCAGGGGTGAAATAGACCCCAGTCTCCCATAGCGCTCCCAGGCTTATTGGGAAGAGGAAATTCCCGCCTAATAAATTTTGGTCAGACCAGTTGCTCTCAAAACCCTGTCTCCTGATAAGATGTTATCCATGACAATGGTGCATGAAACTTCATTAGCAATTTTAATTTCGCCCCGGTCCTGTGGTCCTGTGATCTCACCCTGCCTCGACTTGCCTTGTGATATTCTATTACCTTGTAAAGTACTTGATGTCTGTGACCCACACCTATTTGCACACTCCCTCCCCTTTGAAAATCCCTAATAAAAACTTGCTGGTTTTTGTGGCTTGTGGGGCATCAAGGAACCTACCGACATGTGATGTCTCCCCCAGATGCCCAGCTTTAAAATTTCTCTCTTTTGTACTCTGTCCCTTTATTTCTCAAGCCAGCCAATGCTTAAGGAAAATAGAAAAGAACCTATGTGAATATCGGGGCAGGTTCCCCGATAGTTTGTGATTTTGAATTTGTTTGCTCTTGCTTTTAATTGTGATGTTAGGGTGTTGATTTTAGATATTTCCTGCTTTCTTTTGTGGGCATTTAGTGCTATAAATTTCCCTCTAAACACTGCCTTAACTGTGTCCCAGAGACTCTGGTACATCATGTCTTTGTTCTCATTGGTTTCAAAGAACTTATTTATTTCTGCCTTGATTTTATTATTTACCCAGTAGTTATTCAGGAGCAGGTTGATTAGTTTCTATGTAGTTGTGCGGTTTTGAGTGAGTTTCTTAATCCTGAGTTCTAATTTGATTGCATTGTGGTCTGAGAGATGGTTTGTTATGATTTCCATTCTTTTGCATTTGCTGAGGAGTGTTTTACTTCCAATTATGTCGTCAAATTTAAAATAAGTGTGATATGGTGCTCAGAAGCATGTATATTTTGTTGATTTAGGATGGAGAGTTCTGTAGATGTCTGTTAGGTCCACTTGGTTCAGAGCTGAGTTTAAATCCTGAATATCCTTGTTAGTTTTCTGTCTCATTGATCTATCTAATATGGACAGTGAGGTGTTAAAGTCCCCCACTATTATTGTGTGGGAGCCTAATTCTCTTTGTAGGTCTCTAAGAACTTGCTTTATGAATCTGGGTGCTCCTGTATTGGGTGCATATATATTTAGGATAGTTAGCTCTTCTTGTTGCATTGATCCCTTTAATGTTATGAAATGCCCTTCTTGGTCTCTTTTGATCTTTGTTGGTTGAAAGCCTGTTTTTATCAGAGACTAGGATTGCAACTGCTGCTTTTCTTTTTTCTTTCCGTTTGCTTGGTAAATATTCCTCAATCAGTTTATTTTGAGCCCATGTGTGTCTTTGCACGTGAGATGGCTCTCCTGAATGCAGCACACCAATGAGTCTTGACTCTATCCAATTTGCCAGACTGTGTCTTTTAATAGGGGCATTTAGCCCTTTTACATTTAAGGTTAATATTGTTATGTTTGAATTTGATTTTGTCATTATGATGCTGGCTGCTTATTTTGCTCAATAGTTGCAGTTTCTTCATAGTGTCTATGGTCTTTACAATTTGGTATGTTTTTGCAGTGGTTGGTACCGGTTGCTCCTTTCTATGTTTAGTTCTTCCTTCAGGGGTTCTTGGAAGGCAGGTGTGGTGGTGACAAAATCTCTTAGCATTTGCTTGTCTGTAAAGGATTTTATTTCTCCTTCACTTATGAAGCTTAGTTTGGCTGGATATTAAATTCTGGATTGAAAATTCTTTTCTTTAAGAATGTTGAATATTGGCCCCCACTCTCTTCTGGCTTGTAGGATTTCTGCAGAGAGATCCACTGTTAGTCTGATGGTGGGTAACCCGACCTTTCTCTCTGGCTGCCCTTAACATTTTTTCCTTCATTACAACCTTGGTGAATCTGACGATTATGTGTCTTGGGATTCCTCTTTTCAAGGAGTATCTTTGTGGTGTTCTGTGTATTTCCTGAATTTGAATATTGGCCTGTCCTGCTAGGTTTGGGAAGTTCTCCTGAATAATATCCTGAAGAGTGTTATCCAACTTGGTTCTGTTCTCCCCGTAACTTTCAAGTACACCAATCAAACTTAGGTTTGGTCTTTTCACATACTCCAATATTTCTTGGAGGCTTTGTTTGTTTATTTTCATTCTTTTTTCTCTAATCTTGTCTTCACACTTTATTTCATTAAGTTGATCTTCAATATCTGATATCCTTCCTTCCACTTGATCGATTTGGCTATTGATACTTATGTATGCTTCACGAAGTTCTTGTGCTGTTTTTTGGCTCCATCAGGTCATTTATGTTCTTCTCTAAAGTAGTTATTCTAGTTAGCAATTCCTCTAACCTTTGTTCAAGGTTCTTAGCTTCTTTGCATTGGGTTAGAACATGCTCCTTTAGCTCAGAAGAGTTTGTTATTGTCCACCTTCTGAAGCCTACTTCGGACAATTTGTCATACTCATTCTCCGTCCAGTTTTGTTTCCTTGCTGGCGAGGAGTTGTGATCCTTTGGAGGAGAAGAGGCGTTCTGTTTCTTGGAATGTTCAGCCTTTTTGTGCTGGTTTCTCCCCATCTTTGTGGATTTATCTACCTTTGGTCTTTGATGTTGGTGCCCTTTGGATAGGGTTTCTGAGTGGACATCCTTTTTGTTGATGTTGATGTTATTCCTTTCTGTTAGTTGTTTTCCTAACAGTCAGAACCCTCTGTTGCAGGTCTGCTGGAGTTTGCTGGAAGTCCACTCCAGACCCTGTTTGCCTGGGTATCACCAGCGGAGGCTGCAGAACAGCAAAGATTGCTGCCTGTTCTTTCCTCTGGAAGCTTTGTCCCAGACGGGCACCTGCCAGATGCCAGCCAGAGATCTCCTGTATGAGGGGTCTGTTGGCCCCTGCTAGGAAGGGTCTCCCAGTCAGGAGACACAGGCGTCAGGGACCAGCTAGAGGAGGCAGTCTGACCCTTAGCAGAACTTGAACACTGTGCTGGGTGATCCCCTGCTCTCTTCAGAGCCGTCAGGCAGTGACGTTTAAATCTGCTGAAGCTGCGCCCACAGCCGCCCTTTCCCCCAGATGCTCTGTCCCAGGGAGATGGGGGTTTTATCTATAAGTCCCTGACTGGGGCTGCTGCCTTTTTTTCAGGGATGCCCTTCCCAGAGAGGAGGAATCTAGAGAGGCAGTCTGGCTAGAGCCGAGAATTTTTAATATGAAGAGATGTTGAATTTTATTGAAGGCCTTTTCTGCATCTATTGAGATAATCATGTAGTTTTTCCTTTAGTTCTACTTATGCAATGAATTATGTTTACTGATTTGCATATGTTGAATCAGGTTTACATCCCAGGAATTAAGCCAAATTTATCATGGTGGATAAGCTTTTTGAGGTGGTGCTGGATTCCATTTGCCAGTAATTTTTTGAGAATTTTTGCATCAATGTTCTTCAAATATATTGGCCTAAAGTTTTCTTTTTTTGTTGTATCTCTGCCAGGTTTTGGTATCAGGATGAAGCTGGCCTCATAAAAAGAGTTATGGAGGAGTCTCTCTTTTTCAATTGTTTGGAATAGTTTCTGAAGAAATGGTACCAGCTCTTGTTTGTACCTGTGGTAAAATTTAGGTGTAAATCCATCTGATTCTGGGCTTTTGTTGGTTGGTAGACTTTTTACTACTCCCTCAATTTCAAACTTTTTGTTGGTCTCTCCAGGGATTCAATTTCTTCCTGGTTTAGTCTTGGGAGGGTGTATGTGTCCAGAAATTTATTCATTTCTTCCAGATTTTCTAGTTTATTTGCATAGGGGGGTTCATAGTATTTGCTGATGGTTGCTTGTATTTTTGTGGGATCAGTGGTGATATCCTTTTTATCATTTTTTGTAGTGTCAGTTTGATTATTATTTTTTTCTTTTTTATTAGTCTAGCCAGCAGTCTATCCATTTTATTATTTTTTTAAAAACCAGCTCCTGGATTTATTGGTTTTTTGAAAGTTTTTTTGTGTCTCTATCTCCTTCAATTCTTCTCTGATCTTAATCGTTTCTTGTCTTCTGCTAGCTTTTGGGTTTCTTTGCTATTGATTCTCTAGTTCTTTTTTTTGGGATGTTAGGGTGCTGATTTGAGATCCTTTTAGCTTTTCAATGTAGGTATTTAGTGCTATAAGTTTACCTCTTAACACTGCTTTAGCTATGTCTCAGAGATTCTGGTACATGGTCTCTTTGATCTCATTGGTTTCAAATAACTTCTTCATTTCTGCCTTAATTTTATTATTTACCCCCAGAGTCATTCAGGAGCAGATTGTTCAATTTCCATGTGTTTGTGTGGCTTTGTGTGAGTTTCTTAATCTTGAGTTCTAATTTGATTGCACTGTGGTCTGAGAGACTGTTATGATTTCAGTTCTTTTGCATTTGCTGAAGAGTGTTTTACTTCCAATTCTGTGATAGATTTTAGAGTAAGTGCCATGTGGCTCTGAGAAAAATGTATATTCTGTTGGTTTTGGGTGGAGAGTTCTATAGATATTTACCAGGTTCACTTGATCCAGAGCTGAGTTAAAGTCCTGAATATCCTTGTTATTTTTCTGTCTCGATGATCTGTCTCATATTGACAATGAGGTGTTACAGTCTCCCACTATAATTGTGTGAAGTCTAAGTCTCTTTGGAGATCTCTAAGCACTTGTTTTGTGAATTTGGGTGCTCCTGTATTGGGTGAATATATATTTAGGACAGTTAGCTCTTCTTGTTGAATTGATGCCTTTATTTTATGTCATACCCTTCTTTGTGTTTTTTCTTATCTTTTTTAGTTTAAATTCTGTTTTGTCATAAACTAGGATTGCAACCCCTGCTTTTTTTCTGCTTTCCAATTACTTGGTAAGTTTTCCTCCATCCCTTTATTTTTAGCCTATGTGTGTCTTCACATGTGAGATGGGTCTCTTGAATATGGCACACCAATGGTTCTTGACTCTTTATCCAGTTTGCCATTCCGTGTATTTTAACTGGGGCATTTAGCCCATTTACATTTAAGGTTAATATTGCTATGTGTGAATTTGGTCCTGTCATCATGATGTTAGCCGGTTATTTTTTAGACTTGTTGATGCAGTTGCTTCGTAGTGTCATTTGTCCTTGTATTTCAGTGTGTTTTTGCAGTGGCTGGTAATGGTGTTTCCTTTCTACATTTAGTGCTTCTTTCAGGAGCTCTTTGTAAGGCAGGCCTGGTGGTGATGAATTCCCTCAGCATTTGCTTGTCTGAAAAGGATTTTATTTCCACTTTGGTTATGAAGCTTAGTATGGCTGGGTATGAAATTCTGGGTTGTAAATTATTCTCTTTAAGAATTTTGAATATTGGACTTCAATCTCTTCTGGTTTGTAGGGTTTCTGCTCAGAGGTCTGCTGTTAGTCTAATGGGCTTTTCTCTGTAAGTAACGTGGTCTTTCTTTCTGGCTGCCCTTAACATGATTTCCTTCATTTCGACCTTGGAGAATCTAATGATTGTGTCTTGGGCTTGACCTTCTCATAGAGTTTCTTACTTGGGTTCTCCAGATTTTCTGAATTTGAATGTTTGCCTATCTTGTTAGGTTGAGGAGGTTCTTTTGGATGATATCCTGAAGTATATTTTCCAACTTGGTTCCATCCTCCCCATCTCTTTCAGGTACCCCAATCTGTCATAAGTTCAGTCTTTTTATATAATCCCATAGTTCTTGGAGGTTTTGTTCATTCCTTTTCTTTTTTCTTTTTCTTTTCTTTTTTTTTCTCCTCTAATCTTGCCTGCCTGTCTTATTTCAGCAAGATAGTCTCCGAGCTCTGAAATTATTTTCTCTGCTTGGTCTATTCTCTTATTGATACTTGTGGTTTTATTGTGAAGTTCTCATGTTGTGTTTTTCAGCTCCATCAGGTCATTAATGTTCTTCTCTACACTGGTTATTCTGGTTAACAACTCCTATAATGTTTTATGGTGGTCCTTAGCTTCTTTGTATTGGGTAAGAACATTCTCCTTTAGCTCAGTTAAGTTTGTTATTACCCACCTTCTGAAGCTTACTTCTGTCAATTCATCCATTTCAGCTTCCGCATCAGTTCTGTGCCCTTGCTGGAGAGGTGTTGCAATCATTTGGAGGATAATAGGCATTTGGGCTTTTGGAATTTTCTGTGATTTTACTTTGATTCTTTCTCATTTTCATGAGTTTCTCTAATTTTGATCTTTGAGGCTGTTAACTTTGGATGTAGTTTTTGTGGGGACATTTTGTGAATGTTGTCACTTTCTGTTTGTTTGTTTTTCTTTTAACAGTGAGGTTCCTCTTCCGTAGGGCTGTTGCAGTTTTCTGGGTGTCCACTTCAGGCACTATTCACCTGGCTCTCTTCCCCCCTGGACATGTCACCTGACATGCAGAACAGCAAAGATGGCTGCCTTCTCCTTCCTCTGGGATCCCTGTCCCTGAGGGACACAGACCTGTTGTAGCAGGAATGTTCCTGTATAAGGTATCTGGCAAACCCTGTTGGGGGGTCCCGCCTAGCCAAGGGGCACAGAATCTAGGACCCACTTAACTAGCACTCGGGCTGCCCCTTGGTGGAGACAGTGTGCTGCACTCTGAGGAGCCCACTCATCTGGACTGTCCAGATTTTTTAGAGTCAGCAGGGGAAAGACTAAGTCTGCTAATACACAGAGACCACAGCCACACAGGGGCTCAGTCCCAGGGGGATCAGAATTCTGTCCCTATACCCCATGGCTGGGGTTGCTGAAATTCCTGCAGGGAGTCCCCATCCAGTGAGAAAGAATGGGTCAAGGGCCAGCCTAAAGAGGCAGTCTGGCATGATATGCCACAGCTGGTGTGCTGTAGCTCTGTGAAATTCCTGCTGGGCTCAAACCATCCTGTCTCCCCACCACCAGCAGGGGAAAAATTGCAGACTGGAGCTTCAGTGATGGCTGCTGCCCCTCCTCCAGGGAGCTCAGTTGTCTTAGGCAGCAAGCAGCCACAGTGATGATGGCTGTCCCTCCCCTTGGGAACGCAGTAGCCTTAGGCAGTCTCCAGCCAAATAGCCACTGAGAATCTGCACAGCTCTGTGCTTGAGACCCAAGGCCCTGGTGACATGGGCCCACAAGTGGGATCTCCTTATCTGTGGGTTGCACAGATCTATGAAAAAAAGCACCATTTCCCATGCAGGGTAGCACAATCACTCACCACTTCCCTTGGCTGGGGGTGGGAGCTTCCCTTGCCCCATGTGGCTCTCATTTGGGCTGTCACACTACCCTGCTCTCACTGACTGTCTGTGGGTCACACCAACTACCTAATTAGTTCCAGTGAGAGAAGCTGGATATCTCAGTTACTGGTGCAGGATTCACTCGCCCTTTTGGTTCTTCTTGGTGGGAGCCTCCAACCACAGCTCTTTCTAGTCGACCATCCTGTCCAGAATATCTGACTTTTTAATAATAGTCACTCTGACTGGTGTGAGATGATATCTCCTTGTGGTTTTGATTTGTATTTCTCTAATGATTACTGATGTTGAGCAGTTTTTTATATACTTGTTGGTGGCATGCATGTCTTAATTGTGAAAGTGTCTGTTCATGTTATTTGCACACTTTTTAATGGAGTTGTTTGTTTCTTGCTTGTTAGTTGTTTACATTCTTTAAAGATTCTGGATATTAGATGTTTGTTGGATGCATAGTTTGCAAATAGATTCTCCCATTATGTGTGTTGTCTGTTTACTCTGATGATAGTTTATTTTGCTGTGCAGAACTTCTTTAGTTTAATTACATCCTATTTGTCAATATTTATTTTTGGCCGGGTGCAGTGGCTCACGCCTGTAATCCCTGCACTTTGAGAGGTCGAGATGGGTGGATCACGAGGTCAGGAGATCAAGACCATCCTGGCCAACATGGTGGAACCCCGTCTCTACTAAAATACAAAAAATTAGCCGGGCGGGGTGGCACACTCCTGTAGTCCCAGCTACTTACTCACGAGGCTGAGCCAGGGGAATCGCTTGAACCTGGGTGGCAGAGGTTGCAGTGAGCCGAGATGGTGCCACTGCACTCCAGCCTGGCGACAGAGCAAGACACACTCTCTCTCTCTCTCTCTCTCTCTATATATATATATATATATATATGCTTTTGGCCTCTTCTCCATAAAATATTTGCCATGGCTTATGATGAGAATGGTATTTCCTAGGTTATCTTTCAGGAATTTTATAGGTTTAAGTTGTGCATTTAGGTCTTTAATTCCCCTTTGTGTATGGTGTAAGGAAGGGGTCTAGTTTTAGTCTTCTGCATATGACTAGCCTGTTATCCCACGTCGTTCAGCTTTTCTACTACTCCATAATAACATCAGCTGCTGGAACATCATTTCAATTAAAAACCTTGAATGGATCAGATTTTGACACATAATATAATTGGGATATTTTAGTAAGTGAAATAAATAATCTGCATTAACTTTTAAACACATTCATTAACCTTTTTGTAAAGAGAAAGGAAATGAACAGCTTTGAGGTATTTGGAATAGTATTGTTTTCGAAAAACATTTCAAAGACAGAGTTTTAATTCAGAAATTTTTACATATCTAGACCTCCAGCTTTGGTTACCAATTTTCTTCTCTTTTACTTCTGGGAAAATCAACACATAGGACTTTTAGTGATGTTGTCACATTTATATCCATAAAAATAGTGGCATTAAAAAAATTGTATTACATTAAACGGAATTTACTTTATGTCTATTTAAAACAATGATAAGTATGGTGAGATGATGTGCATCTTAATTAGTTTGAATGAATCTTTCTGTAATGTATATGTAGATCAAAACATCACGTTGTACTCTGTAAATATCCACAATTATTGACAATTAAAAATACATAAAAATAAATATGAAAAACAAAACAACATTTTCTAAAGGTAGCCATGAAACCCAGTTTTACTGAGTGAAGAGGATTCTCATACTTGAAGCATTTGAGATACATTACATAATTTTTCCTCATAAATTGTCTTTAGAATAATATTTTAATACATACAAATGTCAAACAATTTTGTTTCAACTGTTAGTGAGGAAAAATGAACTGAACTTATAAATTGATTTTTCTATCATAAATATATGATATTAGATTCTAAATTGTACACATTATGGTTAATAAGTTTGGCTAACAAGTAGTATTTACTTAAAATTTAAGCACCACAGGCAGTAAAAACTTGTAATGTCTTCATATTTTCAATCAAATGTTTACACATAAACATTACATACAGAGCCCTCAGAAATAATGCTGCATATCTACAACTGTCTGATCTTTGACAAATCTGACAAAAACAAGAAATGGGGAAAGGATTCCCTATTTAATAAATGCTGCTGGGAAAACTGGCTAGCCATATGTAGAAAGCTAAAACTGGATCCCTCCCTTACACCTTAAACAAAACTTAATTCAAGATGGATTAAAGACTTAAATGTTAGACCTAAAACCATAAAAACCCTAGAAGAAAACCTAGGCAATACCATTCAGGACATAAGCATGGGCAAGGACTTCATGTCTAAAACACCAAAAGCAATGGCAACAAAAGCCAAAATTGACAAATGGGATCTAATTAAACTGAAGAGCTTCTGCACAGCAAAAGAAACTACCATCAGAGTGAACAGGCAGCCTACAGAATGGGAGAAAATTTTTGCAATCTACTCATCTGATAAAGGGCTAATATCCAGAATCTACAATAAACTCTAACAAATTTACAAGAAAAAAACAAACAACCCCATCAAAAAGTGGGCAAAGGATATGAACAGACACTTCTAGAAAGAAGACATTTATGCAGCCAAGAGACACATGAAAAAATGTTCATCATCACTGACCATCAGAGAAATGCAAATCAAAACCACTATGAGATACCATCTCACACCAGTTAGAATGGCAATCATTAAAAAGTCAGGAAACAACAAGTGCTGGAGAGGATATGGAGAAATAGGAACAATTTTACACTGCTGGTGGGACTGTAAACTAGTTCAACCTTTGTGGAAGTCAGTGTGGCAATTCCTCAGGGATCTAGAACTAGAAATACCATTTGACCCAGCCATCCCATTACTGGGTATATACCCAAAGGATTATAAAACATGCTGCTTTAAAGACACATGCACACGCATGTTTATTGCGAGACTATTCACAATAGCAAAGACTTGGAACCAACCCAAATGTCCAACAATGATAGACTACATTAAGAAAATGTGGCACATATAAATAATGGAATACTATGCAGCCATAAAAAAGGATGAGTTCATGTCCTTTGTAGGGACATGGATGAAATTGGAAATCATCATTCTCAGTAAACTATCGCAAGAACAAAAAACCAAACACCACATATTCTCACTCATAGATGGGAATAGAACAATGAGAACACATGGACACAGGAAGGGGAACATCACACACCAGGGCCTGTTGTGGGGTGAGGGGAAGGGGGAGGGATAGCAGTAGGAGATACGCCTAATGTTAAATGACGAGTTAATGGGTGCAGCACACCAACATGGCACATGTATACATATGTAACAAACCTGCACGTTGAGCACATGTACCCTAAAACTTAAAGTATAATTTTAAAAAAGTACATACATTTATGAGAGTTTTAAAACCTCATTCTGCTCTATGTGAAAGCTAACCATTTAATGAAAGTACGTTTCTAGTTGTGAAATTTTCAACCATTTTTACATGCAGACAAATGTGGGAGGGAGCTAATCTGAGAAATTCCTATTAAATGATCAGCACTGAAATACCTTCAGCACAGTGCACTGCCAAACAAGCATATAAGATTTTAAAAAGTGAATAAAACAACACCTGTGAGACTCTGATATTGGAAATAACACTTTCCAAAATGACTCCTTTAAGTGCATGGAATCCTTTACTTAGCAGCAACATTGACCTATTTTGTAATGATATCTTCTAATTGAATAATTATTTAAATCGATAGAGATTTTAAGGCAGAGCAATGCTCTACAGAGAAGTTCAAAGGGAAATAATAAGATAATAGAGAAGAACACAAAATAAAGTTACCAAGAGCAAAATGTTAAAGCAGTTAGTGTTTGGCTTAGATGTCCTCTGCATCTTTTGCTTTTCTTTCCAGTACCTTCTTTCCATGCCAGAGTTATGGAGCTCTTACGTTGATCAGGCCTACTTGTTTTTTTTGTTATACTTCAAGTTCTAGGGTACGTGTGCACAACATGCAGGTTTGTTACATATGTATACATGTGCCATGTTGGTGTGCTGCACCCATTAACTCATCATTTACATTAGGTATATCTCCTAGTGCTAACCCTCCCCCCTCCTCCCACCCCACAACTGGCCCCGGTGTGTGATGTTCCCCTTCCTGTGTCCATGTGTTCTCATTGTTCAATTCCCACTTAAGAGTGAGAACATGTGGTGCTTGGTTTTCTGTCCTTGTGATAGTTTGCTGAGAATGATGGTTTCCAGCTTCATCCATGTCCCTACAAAGGACATGAACTCATCATTTTTTATGGCTGCATAGTATTCCGTGGCATATATGTGCCACATTTTCTTAATCCAGTCTTTCATTGATGAACATTTGGGTTGGTTCCAAGTCTTTGCTATTGTGAATAGTGACCAGGCCTACCTTTAAGGGGAAAGGCAATCTGATGAAACCATTCACAGCAAATAGTTAATAACTGCAAGGAGGCTTCAACACTTTACCATTCACCATCCCCGATATCTAAATTATAGATACTCGACATAGAAAAGAATCTTGAGAGTCATTTTATTCAGTGTTTCAAAAAACTTTGATTCCACTGGCCAGCAATTTATACTTTAATTTTCAAATGTTTATAAGAAGACTAACATTGTTGCCATCTTTTTGGTTAAATAAAAACATTTTTAAAGTTTTTCATCTAACATCATTTTTAAAGACATTTCATAACTAAAAAAGTAAATAAATTTATCTTCATTAAACTTTATATATTTTACTTGTTTTTTTAATTATGCCATTACCTGATTTTTCCCTCCAACATCCCTACATACAGTTATCTTGAGATGTTTGAACATCACAAGAGACATAGACCGTCCATTTAATTTAGGGTCAGCTGTTACTCTTAGAAAATTCCTGTTTTAATATAGACAACATTTGACTCCCTTTAACTTCCATGTATTGATGTAACTCTCCCTGTTGGAGTCATAAAGATCAACTTGAATCCTTCTTCTATATAATAGTTCTTTGAATGTTTGAAGACCTCTATTCTGCTTTAATCCCCCAACCCCCAGCCTGCATTAAACAAACAGAATTGTCTCTTCTAAAACTAAATATCCTCCAATTTTTTTTCATGTGATGTGGGCTTTCTTCATTTTTATCATCTTAGTCACTCTCCTACTATTTCAAGTATTTTTTATAATGGCTGACTTGACTGATTGAATGACTAAAATTATGTCCCCCTGAATAGACTTCAGTTTTTCAATAACTCTTTTCAAACGTGGCACTAATATCTGGATTGAGACCTTTAGAGGTCTTACATATCAAAAAGATTATGATGCCCTTCCTTTGCACCTCCATGTGTAATGTAAAATAAAACATAACTGAAAACCAGATGAAATATATTGCTTTTCCTGAATGACACAACATTACAGGAATGCTGATAATGGAGGCACCTAATATTAAGAACAGAACTCGAGATGTACATTGATGCACATGGAGCAAAATAAAGCTCTCATTAACTCCCTTACAAACAACACCTTGACTACAAGAGAGCTAAAACATGTTGCCTTAACCAGTAAATCAACAGAATAATCAACTCTGTCAAATAGTTGAGTAAATTTTTACGACTAGAACAGTTGTTTGAATCCGTAGACTCTGCCAGTTGTAACATATGAAGACTCAGTAGGATTATTCTCCAAGGTTTTATTCTTTGAACATGCAGAATAACTCACCTTCAATAACTTCATAAAGTTAGCAATAAAAAAGTAGCATATTCTTTTTGATTTTAACTTTTTTATTTTAATAGTTTTGGGGATATAGGTGGTTTTTGGTTACATGGACAAGTTTGTTCGTGGTGATTTCAGAGATTTTGGTGAGCCCGTTATCTGGGAAGTGTATGCTGTATGCAGTTTTTTATCCCTCACCCCCCCTCAACCTTCGCCCCAAGTCTCCAAAGTCCATTATATAATTCCTATGCCTTTACACCCTCAAAGCTTAGCTCTCAGTTACAAGTGAGAACATATGATATTTGGTTTTCCACTCCTGAGCTACTTTTCTTAGATTTATGGGCTCCAGCTCCATCCAAGGTGCTGCAAATGCCATTATTTTGTTCTTTTTTATGGCTGAGTAGTATTCCTTGGTGTGTGTGTGTGTGTGTGTGTGTGTGTGTGTGTGTGTATATATACACATATATATACACACATATATACATACACATATATATGTATATATATATATACACAAATATATATACATATCTCACATATTCTTAATCTGCTTGTTGGTTGATGTGCATTTAGGTTAGTTCCATATTTTTGAAATTGCAGTTGTGCTGCTATAAACATGTGTGCGTGTGTCTTTTTCATATAACATTTTTCTTTGGGTAGATGCCCAGTAGTAGGATTGCTGGATAAAATGGTAGTTCTATTTTTAGTCCTTTAAGGAATATCCATACTGTTTTCCATAGTGGTTGAACTAGTTTGCATTCCCACCAGCATTGTAAAAGTGTTCCCTTTTCACAACATCCATGCCAACATCTATTATTTTTTGATTTTAAATTATGAATAAAAGATGCCTGTCAGATTTGAATAGCTGAAACACTGGGACAGGAGCAAGGCTATGAGGTGAATAACTTTCCTTTCTGGCCTGGCAGGGAATCTGAGGTAGCTTCCACTCTTTACCCTGATTAAACCTCAGTGCATGTTATAAAGATCTCTCTCCAACCAACCTCATTAAGGCCAAGACCTCAGCACATCATTGGGTATTAATCTACCCACCTGCCTTAGCTACAACTGCCTTAGCTACCCAGGGATATCTCCCTTATTGGCCTGAAGCCTGAATTGTCAACTCAGTAAATAAAGTACTGGGTAAAGTGCAAATAAATAAAGTGTGCACCACTAGAGAACAAGGTACACTTCAAGGGGACCCGGCCATTTCAACCCCGTAAGAGACAGTGAACTCTCCCCACACCAAGAATGTAACTACTACAACTAGCATCTGGTAAAGCCAGTGCACAAAGACTCTCTATAACTAAGGAACTCATAAAGTTTTAACCCCTAAATGCACCAAGAATCATATTAGGCTCAAATAAATATTGAAGTCAATTCTTAGAGAACAAAAAAAAACTTTAAAAATGCAGTCCAATTAAAAATAAATTCAAGAACAATTTAAAAAAAATAGTCTACCCAAATGAGAAGGAACCAGAAAAAGTAACTCAGGTAATAAGACAAAACAGGATTCCATAACTTTAATTTTGATTCAACATAGTATTTGTTTAACTTACCTCTGGGCCTGCTGCTGGTTTTTTATCACTATAAACCCATTGGTGTGGGAAAAACTATTGTTACATTGACTACGTTTTCCTGTTTTTTTTTTTTTTTAACTTTTCAACAAAGGTTACAGTGAATAAGAAATAGAAAAGAGTCTTTCCACTTTTGCTTATGTCACTTTCTGTCTTCTACAACTTTAAACTCTTAGAAAAAGTACCCTATACCATTGGGTTGGTTTGTTTCTTTTTCTGATTGTTTTGTTTTCTATTTCTTTATCTTTTTGAAATGACATAAACAACATCCTTTTTTGTTTTGGGGTTTTTTTTTTGCACATACTACTCTTAAGAAAGTATGTTTGGAGAGTATATATTACACTTAAAGAAAGGCAAAAACAGGAAGAAAAAGTTTTACTCTATGCAAATACTATAAAAATTTTCAAATGAAGGGATGCTGAATATTATCAACTGCTTTTTCAGCATTAATTGACATGATCACATGGTTTTTATCATTCGTTCTGTTGATATGGTTTATCACATGAATTGATTGGTGTGTGTTGAACCATCCTTGCATACCTGGAATAAATTCTACTTGGTAATGATGAATGATCTTTTTAATTTATTATTGGATTCCATTTGTCAGTATTTTTGGGGAATTTTTATATCTATATTCATCAGCACTGTTGGCCTGTACTTTTCTTTTTCTGATGTATCTTTGTGTGGTTTTGGTTTCAAGGCAATACTGGCCTCATAGAATGTGTTTGGAAGTATTTTCTCCTCCTCTATGTTTTAGAATAGTTAGAACAGGGTTGGTATTAGTTATTTTTTAAATGTTTGGTTGAATTCAGTAGTGAAGTTATTGGGTCTCAGGATTTTTATTTTATGGAGAAATTTGTATTGTGACTTTGATCTCTTTACTTGTTATTGGTCTGTTTAGGTTTTGGATTTCTTCCTTGTTCAGTCTTGGTATGTTATTATGTGTCCAGGCATTTGTCAATTTCTCCTAGATTTGTGAATTTATTGGCATATAGTTGCTGACAGTAGCCACTAATGACTCTTTCAATTTCTGCAGTATCAGTTGTAATGTCTTCTTTTTCATTTCTCATTTTATTTATTTGGATTTTCTCTCTTTATTTTTTTCTTTTTTAGTCAGGTTAGAGGTTTGTCAGTTTTGTTTAACTTTTCAAACATCCAACTTTTTGTTTCGTTGATCTTTTGTATTGTTTTCTTCATTTAAATTTTATTTACTTCTTCTTTGATCTTTATTTCTTTTCTTCTACTGATTTTGAGTTTTGTTTGCTCTTGCTTTTCTAGTTCTTTAAGATGCATTGAAGTTTTTTTTTCCTACTTTTGATGTAGGCACTTATAGCTATAAACTTCCCTGTTAGTACGGTTTTTGCTATATCCCATAGGTTTTGGTATGTTGTGTTTCCATTATAATTTATTTTAAAAAAATCAACTTCTTTCTCATGACCCACTTGTCATTCGGGAGCATATTGTTTAATTTCTATGTATTTGAATAGTTTCCAAAATTTTCTTCTTATTAATTTCTAGTTTTATTTCATTGTGGTCAAGAAAGATGCTTGATTTTTTTTTTTCAAGTTTTTTTTAATGTTTTAAGACTTATTTTGTAACCTAACATACAGTGTATCCTTGACAATCATTTATGTGCTGTGGACAGTCATGTGTATTTTACAGCCATTGGATAAAATGTTCTATAAATATTTATTAGATCCTTTTGGTCTGTAGTGCAGATTAAGTCTGATATTCCTTTATTTCTGTTCTGGAATATATGTCAAATGTCGAAAGTGAGGTGTTGAATTCTTCAGCTATTATTGTTTTGGGGCTTCTCTCTCTCTTTAGCTCTAGTAATATTTGCTTTATATATTTGGTGCTCCAGTGTTGGGTGCATATATATTAATGTTTTAAATTGTTATATTATCTTGCTGAATAGACCACTTTATCTCATATAGTGACCTTTTTGTCTCTTCTTATAGTTTTCATCTTGAAATCTATTTTGTCTGATATAAGTATAGTGACTCCTGCTCTTTTTTGGTTTCTATTCAGATGGATTATATTTTTACATCCCTGTATTTTTAGTCTTTGTGTGTCTTTATAGCAAAAGTGTATTTCTTGTAGACAACAGATCAATGGGTCCTGTTTTTTCATCCATTCAGCCACTGTATGAGTTTTGATTGGAGAGTTTGGTCGATTTACTTCCAATGTTATTATTGATAAGTAAAGACTTACTGTTGCCATTTTGTTATTTGTTTTCTGGTTGTTTTGTGGTCTTGTCTTCCCTCTTTCTTTCCTTCCTGTGTTCATTTAGTGATGGTGATTTTCTCTGTTGATATGATTTAGTTTCTTGCTTTTTATTTTATGTGTATCCATTTTATGTTTTCTGCTTTGAGGTCACCATTAGGCTTTCAAATACTATTTCATAAAGCATTATTTTATCCCAATAACAAATTAACATCGTTTTTTATAAACAAACCAACAAGCAGGCAAAAAAAAAAAACTAATAAAAACTCTAAGCCTTAACTGCATCCCCCTACTTGTTAACTTTTTGTTGTTGCTATTTATATCTTATGGTATGGCCTACATCTTGCTAAGTTGTTGTGGTTATTATTTTGATTTGCTAATTGCTTAGTCTTTCTACTTAGGATAAGAGTGGTTTACACAGCACAGTTATAGTGCTACAGTAATCTGTTTTTGTGTTCTTACTATTACTGGTGAGTTTTGTATGTTCAGGTAATTACTTGTTTCTTATTAACATCATTTTCTTTCTGCTTGAGGAACTCCCTTTAGCATTTATTGCAGGAAAACCCTTGTGTTAATGAAATCCCTCAGCTTTTGTTTGTCTTGGAAAGTCTTTATTTATCCATCATGTTTGAAGGATATTTTCACCACATACATCATTCTAGGGTAGTTTTTTTTTTCTTCAGCAATATAAATATGTCATGCCACTCTCTCCTGGTCTGTAAGGTTTCCACTGAAAAATCTATTGCCAGATGTATTGGAGCTCCATTGTATCTATTTGTTTTTTACTTTTGCTGCTTTTAGGGTCCTTTCTTTATTCTTAATTTTTGGGAGTTTGATTATTAAATACCTTGAGGTAGTTTTCTTTGGGTTGAATCTGCTTGGTATTCTGAAACCTTCTTGTACTTTAAAATTGATATCATTTCTTAGGTTTGGGAAGTTCTCTGTTGTTATCTTATTGAATATACTTTCTACCCCCTATCTCTCTCTCTACCACCTCATTAAGTCCAATAACCATTAGAATTGCCCTTTTGAGGCTATTTTCTAGTTCCAGTAGGAATGCTTCATTGTTTTTTATTTATTTTACTTTTGTCTCCTCTGACTGTGTATTTTCAAATAGTCTGTCTTCAAGCTGATTTTTTTCTGCTTGATCAATTCTGCTATTGAAAGGCTATGATGTGTTCTTTAATATGCCAATTGCATTTGTCAGCTCCAGAATTTTTATTGATTCTTTTTTAATCTCTTTGTTAAACTTATCTGATAGAATTCTGAATGTCTTTTCTGCATTACTTTGAATTTCTTTGAATTTCTTCAACACAGCTATTTTGAATTCTCTCTCTGAAAGGTCACATGGCTCTTTTTCTCCAGGAGTGATCCCTGCTGCTTTACTTAATTCATTTGGTGAGGTTATGTTTTCCTGGATGGCGTTGATGTTAATAGATGTTTTTCAGTGCCTGGGCATTGAAGAGGTAGGTATTTATTGTAATCTTCACTCTCTGGGCTTATCAGTACCTGTCCTTCTTGGAAAGGCTTTCCAGACATTTACAAGGACATGGGTGCTGTAATTTAAGCTGTATCAGCTTTGAGGGCACCCAAAGTGCAGTAACATTGTGGTTATTTTAGACATGTAGAGGTACTGCCTTTATGGTCATGATTGTGGAGAATTCTCTGCATTACCAGGCTGAGATTCTTTTTCTCTTCCTTTACTTTCTTCCACACAAAGGGAGTCTTTCTATTCTGAGCCACCTAAAGTTGAAGGTCAAGTGACACAAACACCTCTTGGGCCAACACTATGACTGCACTGGGTCAGACCTGAAGCTAGTACAAACGTGGGTCTCACTCAAGGCCTGTTGTAAACGCTCCCTGTCTACTGCCTTTTTTGTTAAGGTCTTAGGGCCCTACAATCAGCAGGTAGCAAATCCAACCAGATTTGTGTCCTTCCCTTCAGGTTAATGAGTTCCCTCAGGCCCCAGGTGTGTCCAGAGTTACCATACGGGGGTCAGGGACTAGATTCAACAACCTTAGAATTCTACTTTGTGTTCTATTGTGCTGCAGCTGAGCTGGCACTCAAACTACAAGATACAGACCTTCCCTCTCTTCCCTCCCCTTTCCAAACTTACTTTACCACATAGCCACTGCCACCACAGGCCACAGGATACTCCCAGCTATCACCAGTGTTTTCTTAAGGCCCAAGGGCTCTTAAGTCACCTTGTGGTGAATGTTACTTCACCTGGGATTCATGCTTCAGGGCAGTGGGCTCCATTTTGGCCCAGAGCAGGTCCCAAATGCCATCCAAGAGTCAAATCCTGGAATCAGGGACCCCAAGAGCCCACTTGGCGCTCTATCTCCCTGTGTCGATGCTGGTATCTGAAGCCAGCAAGCCTCAGAAGCTCATCCAAAGCCCTGGACATAGTACCTGGGTATTCTTGCTGGTTATTCTGGTCCCAAGGGCTCTTAATTTAGCAGGTGACAAATTCTTCCAGGACTGGGTCCTTCCCTTCAAGGCAGTAGGTTCCCTTCTGGCCGAGGGTGTGTCTAGAAATGTCATCCAGGAACTAGGGCCTGGAATGAGGCCCTCATGACTCTGACTAGTGCCCTATCCTTCTGTGAGTGAGCTGGTATCCAAGATGCAAGACAAATTCCTCCCAACTCTTTCCTCTCCTCTCCTCAAGTGGAAGGAAGGGGTCTCTTTTGGAGGTGCAAGCTGTGCAGTCTAGTGTTAGAGGAAGGGTGATGCCAACATTCCCTTAGCTGCCCCAGCTGGTGTCTCAGTAGATGGGATGCTCCCCCATGATCCACTGTCTCTGGGCCCAGTTCAGCCCTAGGACTCATCTAAGAGTTTAAGTCCTTATAGCCTAAACTGCCTTTCAATTTTACTTAGAGATTCAGAGCAGTTTATACCTCAGTGGCAAGGTTTGCAGGAACTCAAGTTTAGAGCACCGAGAACAGTAATTCCCCTATGGCTAGGGCTGGTTTAATTTCTCCCTCTGAGGACGGGTGTCAATTGAGTTTTCTCGAATTTTCTTTTCTGCTCTAACAGGACAGTACTGAATTTGCTGCCTCACAATTTCTATGCTCTCCCTCTCCCAGTGCCCAGAGATGCTCTTGGCATCATGCAGCCACTGCCAGGGGATGGGGGAGGGGTGACATCAGCAATTCAAGATTGATTATTATTACTCTTCTGTGCCTCTTTCAGCAATGTGTAATTCAAACCAGGTACTATGAGGGCCCACCTGATTTTTGCACCCTACTCCCATACCGACCAGAAGGATCTCAACCACCAAAAATGTTACAAAATCACTGTCACTGTTTACCTAGTGATTTGTTGAGTATTATATTATTGTAGTGTATGTTTTCATAATGTGCACCGTTAACTTTGCGCAATAATGTAAAATATCTCTTGCCTTTTTCAGAGATTTACCGTCTCTGGAAGCTGTTAGAAGATTGTTAGCTATTTTAATTAGTACAGACTGAAAGGTCTCCTGTAGTTTAATCTGCATAGAAAGTCACAATAATCTCTGGTAACCAGTTTGGCTGCTTAAAAATGTTTTTTAATTGTTACTTTTGACCTGGAAATGCATATAGTCATAAGCTATATTCAACTAGGGAATGTGTGAGGAATTACTATATGATATAAAAAGAGGAAATGTAACTTCCTGACTTAAATTAAATCTGATGAAGTTAGTAGCCATGTTATTAGAGACAAGATAAATGTCCAGAATTCATTATTTTGTTTCAAACTTAGTTTATCGTAAATCTTCCCCATGACATATAATAACTTTTGTACTGTTTTTCAAGTTATTTGATAGCAAGTTCAACAATGTAGGTGAATGACAATGTGAGCAGCACGATAATGACTCTTCAGGAAAATCAGCCTTTAGGGCACAAGGTTAGAACTACATGGGCTTTTATTCAAATAATATATATATATATATATATATTCAAAAATTTATGATTGATCTCATAAGACCATCAGCTAATATACTGTGTGGTTAAAGGCACAAGCTGATTATATATAACAAAATTTATATTATGTGGTCTTGTTATGTTACAGAACTATGTATTAAAAGAAATGGCAGTCCAATTTGATCTGGTATAAAAAGAAAAAATAGTTAGAAAGCACAGAAACTAGTTTTAATTTTTCCCTATACAAAAGAAATATCAAATCACGAATATGAACAGCACTAGCTCAAAGGTTTGCTGAAGGTAAATCAGTTGAGATATATTAATTTTTCCACATATTTTATCGATGGACATTATTATGTAGTATTGCTTTTCTACAGGAAGATACATTAGGCTGAAATTTAAAATTTGGTAGGTAACTGATTATTTCCCACTATGTTAAAAATGTTTACACTGGAAATGTGTAGACAGAAATTTTTATTTAAACATACATATTATTCTTCTCAAATGCCAGAGACAGCCTTTCCAAGTCCTTAACTAGGGAGATGCTGACAAACTGCCACCCACCCTTGTATAGTAGTATAACAACTCCCACAACATGACCCTTCCTCTTGAGTTGTTGCTGTGCATTGGAACATTGAGTAGGTTAATTTAGTCTCTCTTTTCACTAGGGTTTGCAGATTTACAACTTTAATATTTCCGTTTGTTGCAAGCACATACATGATTACTTGAAAAATTTGCATGAGGAAGGATAATGCATTTTTGAGGGGGTTAAAATGATTGTGTTAAAGAACAGTGCCAAAATTCATCTTTAAAAACCCCTGAGATTGTAGAGATAATCATATATGACTTGAGCCATTAGGTACGTCGTTATGCTTGTCAAATACTCTATTTTGCTCCTAATAATACATTCACATATCCCTTTCTGTACATTGAAAGGCTGACTCAGAACACATCCCTGGTCACTGAAATAAAAATTAGGCTTTACTTTCAAATCATCTTCTTGTGTTTTAAACAATACCACCCACATCTCTCACATTTCATTACATACTCTAACATATGTCTTCACGGCAAAGAAGCAGAAATTTCTTGGTAGATTTTATCACACATATAAAGAGAATCATGTGACTGAAAAAGACCATAGAAGTCACCAATAAAAAGAGAATGGTGGTTTTATACATATGTTGGGAAGTTACTCATTTCCAACATTTTCAGTTAACAATTTGACTATGTTCTTTTCATTTCCTTCACAGGGAGGGTTAGCCATTAAAAGAATAGAAACAGGAATTAATGCAAGTGCCATACAATACATGTAGTATAAATACAGCACAAACATGAATCCTAAAATAAACAACACTCATTTAATAGCTTAGCATGAGACAAGCAGTGTAAGAATAAAACTATAATATTACCACTTAAGCTCTCTATTCTTACCCAGTATTAAATAAATTGTTATTTAAGAGTTATTTAAAGAAAATTTAAATTTGAATGGAAAACTGTGTAATAAACATGTAAAACATTACTGATAATACCATAATACTAAACTACCACTAAATGATTTATGAACCATTATTTGCATGCATTAAATTTTACCTTACAACTTTCTGATAAGAATAAACATATTGTGATGAATTGTAAATCAATAGATTGCTAAAAATTGTTCTTGAATGTTCAAATATTAAAAATAAATTAATAACTATTTTCAATAGTGATAATGGGCTCTCATTACTGATGAAGTTTATTATTTATCCTTAAGTAATTGGTTTAAAATGTGAATTTGTAGTATCTGCTGAATTATGTAATATGAAAACATTTATAAATCATTATGTAAGAATCCTAGTAAGCATGAAGCTTCTGAGAGCTAGTTTAACAAAAGTATTCACAGATATACAGACAGCAGGTCTATTCTTGGTTCTTCCTGTGTGATATTTTAGAAATGTCATTATCAATTTTCTGTTTATTATTGTGCTTTGTTTAAAGGGAATTTGCCAAGTGATCCCTGGACTCCAATCTTTAGGCCTATTGTCAAGACAAATTAATTTCCGTGGAAACCCACTATGGCTCAGATACTACCTAGGAAATGCAGGATAAATGGAGTCTGTATACAAATATCTCTGTTTAGCTTCTTGGGGTTGGGGGAACAGGGAGGAACACCTGGAAGAAGTAGAAATTTTACCATATTTACCATTTACCATTCTCATATTTTGACGTAAAAAGCATAGTATATTAGGAGGCAATATGCAACAACACTCTTCCCAGAACTTCTTGGACTAGCGTTACGTGCATAGGAATCACCGGGGAAATTTGTTAACATTAAGTTTCTGAGCAGTAGGCCTTTGATGCACTTGGAATACTGCCTTTATAACAAGTGATGAATGACTTCTCATCCAAGAGACACACTTCGAAGAGCAAGGGCATATATACTCATCCCTTGGTATACGCAGGGATTGGTTCCAGGAACCCCGTGTGTACCCAAATCCATGCAATACTCAAGTCCTCCAGTTGGACCTGTGAGGTGGCCTTTCTCTATATGGGAGTTATGCCTCATGCAGAATTCTGTAATTGTTGATACCGGCTTTGTTGAAGAAAGTCCACATATAAGTTGCTCCATGTGTAAGTGGGCATGAGCAGTTCAAATGTGTGTTGTTCAAAGGTCAACTAAACATATATATGTAACTACACACACACACACACACACACACACACATTTAACCTTCATGAGTCTCAGTTTTCTAATTGGTCCAATTGAACTAACAACTTCTGCCCTATGTCCTCAAAAGTTTATTGGGAAGATCAAAATAAATATTTGGGAATTTGTTTTATACAAATTTAAAGCAAAGGTTTCCTTTTAAGCAAGAATCATTATTTATGATTGACAGGTATTAGCTGAGTGGCTACCATGTGTTCAGCACTGTGCTAGATGCTTTAAGACCAAAGGAATAAATGATCCCTATTCTAAGAGTTTATAATCCAGCTATATTTAAAACTAGTCCAAAGAAGTGCAGTATTAATTTGTACTTCATTTACAATTTTTTCTCACTACATCCAGTACGTAGTAACTATTTTATTACACTATGTCATGCTGGTAAATATTTATCAACCAGTTCTCTTTAAAAGGTATGAATATATTAATTATATATATATGTGAATTATAGATTTTTCTGACATAAAGGACTTGAGGCACATAATTTACAAACAATAATAAAATACACAATATGCTTTATGTAAATTCCACATAATTGGTTGCTTCTCAGAAAACACTTTGGTTGATTTTTGGCAACATTTTTTTAACTATAGTCAAACTATGTTTGTAAGTGATGAACAAGTGTAATTCAAGCATGAATCTTGGATGATATTTTTGTTTATGTTAATGAGAAAGATGAAAGTGAAACAACAAAGTCATGTGAAAGAACTTCACTCATTTATCATTACTTGAATGACTTACTTTCTGAGTTAGATGATCGTTTTCAAACATTAAAACAATAGTATTTTCAATTTTGGGGGCTACTCAACAATATTGCAGCTACAAACATGCTACACTTGTGAATTTAATCTGAATTATTAACATTTTCTCCAACATTTTCTCCAAATTAAACCAAGAGTTGGCAATCCTTTTATGTAGAGGGATAGATGGGAAATATTTGGGGCTTTACAATCCATATAGTCTCTGCTTCAACTACTCAACTCTACTGTTGCAGCACTGCAGCTGGAACTGGTTATGCTCCAGTCAAATTTTATTTACTAAATCAGATGGCAAGCTAGATTTGGCCCATTAACTGAAGTTTGCTGACCCTTAGGTTAAAGAATCAAGAAAACAATAAATCATACCCTGATTTGTAGCTGTTGCCTATTTCCTTAGTGCAAATACTTGGAAAGAGTTGTACAGTGGCATATCATTATAAAGTATTCCCATTATAAAATTCTCTCATTGTAAAGTATTCCTATTGTGTAAATACAATTACCATTATGTAACTATGATAGCTGTAAATAACTTCAAGAGCATACATAATAGTAAAATGTAGTAAAATAATTAAGAAGTGATAAGTACTTGTTATCTTTGTTTTTATTATAATTTATTTAATTGTAAGTTTACAAAATTTACCTTTAATGATGGCTCTGTTTAACATCTGGCTCAAAAAATTCTTGAAATTTTAACTCAGCTCTTGTTAGCCAATAACAGCCAGCTCCAGGATGCCATTAATTAACAGAAATGGATTTAATTGCACATCTTCACCTCTCAACCACTTGGGTTGATACCACATGGATGAGGGCTTGAGTGGGGAAAAAATTTTGGGTTTTCCTACTTCTACACCACTCTCCTCACCTCATCACCAACTTCCTGCTTCCTTGAGCTAAAAAGAGAAAATAAATATTGAAGAAGGGGAAATGGAGAAAAAGAAAGAAGCATAGATGACAGGGAAAGTAGTGAAAGCTGGCAGAAGTAGTGAAAGCCTTACATACCAAATTTTCTATTCTATCACTAGCATAAAAATAAAATAATGGACCTCGTATGGTGGCTCGCACCTGTCATCCCAGCACTTTGGGAGGCTGAAGCAGGAGGATTACTTGAGGCCAGGAGTTTGAGACTAGAGTGGGCAACATAGTGAGACTCCATAGAAGGACACTCTATTCAACAAATGGTGCTGGGATAATTGACAAGCCACATGCAGAAGAATGAAACTGGATCCTCATCTCTCACCTTATACAAAACTCAAGATAAATCAAAGACTTAAATCTAAGACCTGAAACCATAAATATGCTAGAAGGTAATATCAAAAAAACTCTTCTAGACATTGGCTTAGCAAAGAATTAATGATCAAGAATGCAAAAGCAAATCCAATAAAAACAAAATAAATGAGACAATTAAACCAAAAAGCTTTTGCAAAAACAAAATAATAATAATAATCAGCAGAGTAAATAGACAACCCACAGTACAAGCTTTGCATGCGAAAAAGATTAACATCCAGAATCTACAAGGAATTCAAACAAATCAGTAAGAAAAAACATATAACCTCAACAAAAAGTGGACAAAGGACATGAATAGACAATTCTCAAAAGAAGATACACTAATGGCCAACAAACATAGGAAATAATGCTCAATATCACTAACTATCAGGAAAATTCAAATTTAAACTACAATGAGATACCACCTTGCTCCTGCAAAAATGGCTGCAATAAAAAAATTACAGATTTAGTTGTGGATGTGGTGAAAAGGGAACACTTTCACACTGCTGGTGGGAATGTAAGCTAGTACAACCACTGTGGAAAACGGTATGGAGTTTCCTTAAAGAACTAAATGTAGAAATACCATTTGATTCAGCTATCCCACGACTGGGTATCTACCCAAAGGAAAATAAATCATTATATGAAAAAGTCACTCATGCATGTTCACAGCAGCACAATTCGCAAGTACAAAAATATGGAGCCAACCTAATTGTCCATCAACCAATGAGTGGATAAAGAAAACGTGGTACACACACACAAACACACACACACGCACACTATGGAATACTACTCAACCATATAAAGAAAGGAAATATTGACATTTGCAACAACATGGATGATGTTGGGAACCATTATTCTAAGCCAAGTAACTCAGGAATAGAAAGCGAAGTATTGTATGATCTCACTTATAAGTGGGAGCTAAGCTATGAGGATGCAAAGGAATAAGAATGATATAATGAACTTTGGGGACTTGGGGGAAAGGTTGGGAGAGGGCTGAGAGATAGAAGACTACACAGTGGTACAGTGTACACTGCTCAGGTGATGGATGCAACAAAATGTCAGAAATCACCACTAAAGAAGGGGGGCGGGATAGCATTAGGAGATATACCTAATGTAAATGACGAGTTAATGGGTGCAGCGCACCAACATGGCACATGTATACATATGTAACAAACCTGCATGTTGTGCACATGTACCCTAGAACTTAAAGTATAAAAAAAAATATGTATATAAAGAAAAGAAATATAATATCCAAGAAAAATAGAAAAAAAAAAAGAACTTATCCATGTAACCAAAAACTACCTGTTCCCCCCAAACTATTGAAATGAATTTTAAAAAATATTAGCCGGGTATAGTCTTATAGTCCTAGCTACTTGGGAAGGTGAGGCAGGGTAATTACTTGAGTCCAGGAGTTCAAGGCTGCGGTGAGTTATGATCACACCACTGCACTCCAGCCTGGGTGACAGAGTCAGACCCTGTTTCAAAATAAATAAATAAATAAATAAATAATATAATGAGCTGATACCATGAGTATTCATAAGTGTATAAGTGAGGCATGAAAAACGCTATCCCTCCCCCAGAAATGGTCTTCAAAATGGAGGTATTTTGCATTAAATGGGAAAATTGAAGAAGTAAGAAATGGTAACTAAATAGGTTGGTACAAACCCAAGTAGATCATAATGAGACGTGGAAAGATGAAGAGGAAAGAAATGGCACCATTATCTTCAGGTCAAAGGCTGTATATAAATCAAATCTTACACCACAAGATGTGAAGAGCGCATTCTTAAACTATTAAGGGTTCTTTGTTAGAACCTTCTTTTGTTTCCACATACAGCACTGTTGTATGTTGCAGTCACATAACACTACCTTGGACAGATGAACTTATAAGTGGAATGATCCTCACCAAATCAGTCCTACTGGAAAATATTTAAATTTCATCTGTGTTCTTTACAACTTAACTTGAAGGAAAGGAACAACCCATGGGTTTGTACCAGAAGTTTGTCTGGTACAAACTTCTCTGTGACTGAATATTTTTGAACCACATTCATCATCAAAAGAAGAAAATGTTCACACACGATGTCTTCTTTCTGCATGAAGCCTCTTTGACATAAATAAAAACCTCTAAACTCCAGAAATAATTATGAGCATATAGTTTAACCAAGTAGAGAATTCTGGCAATATAGGATATGTAATAAAGTGAAATAGCAGTAGTCAAAATGGATTTAAAAGAAAATAATATATACAATATATAGCATATATAATAAATAAATTACACTTGATCTTAGCCAAAAGGTCAAGAAATGATGTGTAATATACAAATTAGATTATTTTATTTATGTAATTAAATTATATATTTTAATACATTTTCTCACTACCCTTCAGATTACATCCCCTGCTCTGTGGGAAACAAACGAGTCTAAAGAGTGCTTTGGCACACCAAAAGCTACGCATGTTGTATCCAGTCATAACTTGGAACACTCACTAAACGTATACAAAGGGTGTGGGTCATAGACTCCTGTATAATTTTGCTGAATTGTTGTTTCTGAGAAGCCAATTTCAAAGCTAAGGAAAATATCATAAAACTATTTGGAGTCTTTTAAAGTTTACGAATAGCATTTACAAAGGCAATGAGGAACGGAAGGCCAAATTATCAAACAACATACGAAAGCAAGGTTAATTTTACCTTGTAATAAACCCCATCAGGTGATTTATTTTGCTTTGAATTAAAATATCCATACATGAACACAATAATCAGATAACAATGAATCATTTCCGTTACCTCCCCACAATTCAGAAGGGAGAGTCATCTTCTCCTAAGGGGCATTAAGTTCAGACTCACTTCATCTCTTGGTGAAGCAATTTCCCCCTAGATGACTTACAATCATCTGGCCTTTCTGATCCTTCATGACATTCTGCACACTGCAGTCAGAAATATTTTTTCTAAAGGCAAGTTTTCTTACAGCACTCTTCTGATGAAAATCTTTCAACAACTCCCTATTGCTTATTGGTTAATGCCCAAGTTCTTTAGCGAAAAGCAGGCCAAAACTACTCTCCTAGAATCATCATTTCCTTCCTCCATCTCTTTTGTGGTCTCACTCCTCTCTTCTTTGGTTGATGGATGTCTGTTTCTCTCTCATTCAAGGCCCAGGTCTAATGACACCTCCATTATGAATCTTCTTCTGTCTTCTACCAAATGAATTAGCCACTCTCTCCTGGGTTCCCATAAATCTTTACCCATGCAATGTGCAGGATTGGGAGAGAGAGGGAGGGAAGAAGTGTGCAGGTAGAGCAATGGATTTCACCAGAGAGGTAACTACGGGGCTGCGAAACATAGGCCCTACTTCAAACAAAGCATATTAAATCTTAAAATTTGTATACATTCTGAATAAGATTTTATTTTAAAAAGTATTCTCCCTCAACAAAAGAAGCATAATAAAATGCAGGTATAGGGCTGAGCGCGGTGGCTCATGCTTGTAATCCCAGCACTTTGGGAGGCCAAGGCGGGCGGATCACGAGGTCAGGATATCGAGATCATCCTTGCTAACACGGGTGAAACCCCGTCTCTAGTAAAAATACAAAAAATTAGCCGGGCGTGGTGGCGGGCGCCTGTAGTCCCAGCTACTCGGGAGGCTGACGCAGGAGAATGGCGTGAACCCGGGGAGGCGGAGCTCGCAGTGAGCCGAGATCGCGCCACTGCACTCCAGCCTGGGCGACAGAGCGAGACTCCGTCTCAAAAAAAAAAAATTAAAAAAAAATGCAAGTATAGTGGAAAAAGCATTATCTTTGGAGCTAGACAGAGATAGGTTTTAAGCAATCACTCTTCTACTTTACTGAATGTGTGGCTTTGAGCAAATCAATTATCCTACCTACTTACCTAACACCATTATCTGTCACCTACTTCCTTTCAACTGATATGCCAATTGAGCAGAGTAATTAGAGGATGATCTTACTGCGCTACCTTCATGTCTAACTCTTACTGATACGCCAAGACTCAGTTAGTGTTACTTCCACTGTGAGGTCTAACACTAGATGGAGCGCAATACTTTATACAAACCTCTATCATGTTTTGTCATTATTTGCATGTCTTGAACCCAGAGCTTATTAAGCCCTAATGTAATCCTAATAGTTGTTATAATATTAAAATATGGCCGGGTGTGGTGACTTATGACTGTAATCTCAGTACATTGGGAGGCAGAGGCAGGCAAATTGCTTCAGCCCAGGAGTTTGAGACCAGCCTGGGCAACATGGCAAAACCCCATTTACACAAAAAAATACAAAAAAAATTGGCCTGGTATGGTTGTGCATGCCTGTAGTCCCAGCTACTTGGGAGGCTGAGGTAAGGGTATCACCTGAGCCTGGGAAGTTGAGGCTGGAGTAAGTTGTGATCATGCCACTGAACTTCAGCCTAGGGGACAGAGTGAGGCCCTGTCTCAAATAAATAAATAAATATAATAAAATACTTCCAGCTGTGTGAGGTGGTGCATGCCTATTGTCCCAGCTACTTGGGAGGCTGAGGCAGGAGAATTTCTTGAGCCCAAGAATTTGACCCAGCCTGGGCAACACAGCAAGACCCTGTCTCTAAATAAATAAAATAAAAATAAAAATAAAATAATGCTGTACAGGTTGGTAAATATCCAGTGTCCTAAATCTCACCTCATATGCCTCCTAGCACTTTTAGGACATCCCTCCAAAAAAAGCCTCCAGTGACCAGGCAACTAAATGATTAATATCTAAAACAGCAAGGGTCCTCCAGAACTCTGCCATAGCTAAGGCTTGTGTTCATTTCAATCCATCAGTTCCTGTGCATTCCTGGTTGTTAATATTTGAATATAGTTGTTGTTCATCTCCCTAATAGAAGATGAATGGCCTGAGAGCAGAAATTGGGTTATTTACCCTTGTGTTTTTGAAGGTAAGCCTTCTACTGTTCCAGGTGTTAATTATTTAGTTAATCTTTCTTTTCATTACTCCTCTCCTCTCTGATATTAACTACTCTATAGCTTCAAGACATCCTCAGTGACCTCATATTCTCCTTTTGAGGTGTCACGGGGTCTTTACCTGGGCCTAACCTACTTGGACCTATAATTGGATCTTATTCTTCCTCTATCCTTACATGCAAAAACTAATCCCTTTTCTCAGAAGCACACAAAAAGAATCATAAAATTTATTGTATTTTTAAGAAGAAAAAATGCAATTGAGTATGTATAGTTAGCTATAAACTATACTAAATATTAGCATGGTTTACAAATGCATATCACATAACACAGATGCTCTTCAATTATTAATCAGTAGGTGCTGTTTTATTCATCTGTCCTTTTGAATAACTCATTTCAAAAATGTTATAACAGTAAATAAATATATTTAGACATTTTAGGAGTCCTTACCACTCTTACCTTCACCCCAATATATTGTCCAAAACATTACCACAATTACTATATATAGCACCTGCTGTATTTTCTGAAATGATTATTCCACTTTATATATTAAACACAATTGAATATAATTCTTAAAATTCTGCGACAACCAAAATCACCTTGGAAAGAGAGCTGCCATGAATGAAAAAAATGATAATTTCTTTCATTTAATGTCCAGATATATGACATAGTATGAAAGAAGTGTGTTTCTAAACAAAACTTCTATTACTAATCTAGAAACTTGAAGTAGAATTTGATTTTTGTCCAAAAGATACTATTATTACAGTCTCAGAAGATTCTAGTGGATGCTAGTTTCCACTACAGAATCATTCTAATATATTTTATATCATTAGTAGTCACAGCTATCTAGAGTTGTATCAGACCAAACGCAAAGTAAAATATGATGGGATAATAGTAGTAAGATGTTCATTATTTGGAACATACTTGCTATGTTGTTTTTAGTTAATTGATTCATTCATTTATCAAATATTCATTAAATGTCAGTGCCACATGCTAAAAATGCAAAGTATAGTACCCAATATTAAAGTGTTCACATTAGCAAGGAAAAATTGTTATTTTTAAAAAACATATGTTTCTGAAAGTCAATGTATTACTAAGACTCACATTCCATAGCACAGTCAAGAAGCAGGAAAAAGATAAAAATAAAATCCTCTGAAGACACGTGCTTTTTATAAGGGCAGGCAAGTTGATTTAACTTAATTTTCTCTGGCTTTTGATTTTCACAAAGCTAGAAAAAACATTTTCAGTGTTCTTAAAATCATAAAAAAAAATTGGACGATAATGAGAAATTTCTGGTTTGAGATATGGCAAGGGAAAAGAACCAAAGCTAGTTTTACCCTTGAGGTATTTTCAGATCTAGAATAAGCAGCTGAAAAACTGAACTGAGTATTTAGTTGTCTCCCAACATTAGACAGAAAACAATTCGAAGTGCAGAGTCTGCAAAGGATGGAGGCCCAACATATTTTGCTTTAATTTGGATTAAAAAAGTAAGGGGTTAAACACTAGGTGCAAGGGCAAGACAGAAGGAAACTAACCTTCACAAAATTGCAGCCTGAATTTGAGGTCCAGAAAACAATAAGCCTTGAACTTGCTGACTTGCTATTGTCCCCGGGAACCTAACAAAAGCAAACTGACATCATCTTTGGAGAAAGATAGAATCATCCCAGGCTTCAAATTATTTGTACAAAATGCAGTTAATGTGCAGAACACATATAGAGACAGCTAAACACACACACAAAAAGACCTCACATGCTAGAAACAGAAGAAGAAAACAGAAAAGAAAGACACAAAAGGATTTCAGATATTGGTATTATGCACACATCCGGTAAAACAACTATGCATATTTTATTCAAGGAAATAACCATCAAGCTTGAAACTTTTAGCAGGAAAGTGAAACAGAACTGATATAAACAAATACAAACCAAAATTCTGGACTTGAAAAATACTATGATAAATTAAGGACTGAATGATTGGGCTACACAATAAATCATACACAGCTGAATATAAGCTTAGTGAACTGGAGAAAAAGTCAGAAGAAATTATGCAAAATGAATTCTTAAGAGACATTATGATAAAAAATATGAAAGAGATGATGATACATAAAAAATACAATCTGATACTGTTAATTGGAGTCCCACCAGGAGGGAAGGGAAAAAATATACATAGTCAATGCTAGAAAAAACTATTTCTGGTAATTCATAATTTCAATACCTCCAAAAAATTCCAAGCAGAAAAATTAAAAGAAATCCACACACCATAGAGAATCTATGAAAAACCAAAAATAAATATATTTTAATATTTGTCAGAATATAAAACAGTTTACCTTCAAAGAAACAGCAGTTAAGAAGACATCTGATTTCTTTTTTTTTTTTTTTGAGGTAGGGGTCCTATTTCATTGTTTTCATTTTACTTTTTTATTATACTTTAAGTTCTAGGGTACATGTGCACAACATGCTGGTTTGTTACATATGTATACATATGCCATGTTGGTGTGCTGCACCCATTAACTCATCGTTTATATTAAGTATATCTCCTAATGCTATCCCTCCCCCCTCCCCCCACCCCTCAACAGGCCCCGGTGTGTGATGTTCCCCTTCCTGTGTCCAAATGTTCTCATTTTTCAATTCCCACCAATGAGTGAGAACATGCGGTGTTTGGTTTTCTGTCCTTGCAATAATTTGCTGAGAATGATGGTTTCCAGCTTCATCCATGTCCCTACAAAGGACATGAACTCATCCTTTTTTATGGCTGCATAGTATTCCATGGTGTATGTGTGCCACATTTTCTTAATCCAGTCTATCATTGTTGGACATTTGGGTTGGTTCCAAGTCTTTGCTATTGTGAATAGTGCTGCAATAAACATACATGTGCATGTGTCTATATCAGCATGATTTATAGTCCTTTGGGTATATACCCAGTAATAGGATGGCTGGGTCAAATGGCATTTCTTGTTCTAGATCCCTGAGGAATCGCCACACTGAAATACATCTGATTTCTTAATAGCTTCAGTGGAAGACAAAAGACAAGGGAACATTATCTTCAATGTACTGTTAGGAAATAACTGCCAACCTATTCAAGGAAAATGTCCTTCAAGAATAAAGACAAGATAGGCCAGGCGTGGTGGCTCACGCCTGTAATCCCAGCACTTTGGGAGGCTGAGGCGGGTGGATCATGAGGTCAGGAGATCGAGGCCATCCGGTTAACATGGTGAAACCCCGTCTCTATGAAAAATACAAAAAAAAAAAATAACCGGGCATGGTGGTGGGCACCTGTAGTCCCAGCTACTTGGGAGGCTGAAGCAGAAGAATGGCATGAACCTGGGAGATGGAGCTTGCAGTGAGCTGAGATTGCGCCACTGCACTCCAGCCTGGGCGACAGAGCAAGACTCCGTATCAAAAAAAATAAATAATAAAAAAAAGAATGAAGACAAGATAAATTACAATTTCAGGCAACGACTGAGAATGCTCACCACAAGAAACCATACACTAAAGGGAATACTAAAATATTCATCAGTTAGAAATAAAAAAAAAATTAAATAAGTAATCACAGTTATGGGAAAAAATGAAAATCTTAAATATGTAGGAAAATCTATGTTAATATTCGATGTATAAGAATATGATATCTTGTGCTAATATATGTATATGTGGAGAGAGGGAGAGAGAGAGTAAAAACGAGAGAAGAGAAAGAGGAAAAAGAGAAGGATTAAAATATAGTACACAGCATTAGAGTCAGGAACAGAGGAAAAAAACAGTTAAAATGTTATAAATTCCTCATATTGTCCTGGATAAGGGTAGTATATATTATCATTCAGTTTTCATAATGTAAAGATATATATTTTTTCCTTTATTTCTTCTAAAAAAGCAGGATACATGAACAGAACATGCAGGTTTGTTACATAGGTATACGTGTGCCATGGTGGTTTGCTGCACCTATTGACCCGTCTTCTAAGTACCCTCCCTTCACCCTGACACACCCCCCTCACCCCCCACCCCCCAACAGGCCCTGCTGTGTGTTGTTTCCCTCCCCATGCCCATGTGTTTTCAATGTTCAGCTCCCACCTATAAGTGAGAACATGAGGTGTTTGGTTTTCTGTTCCTGTGTTAGTTTGCTGAGGATGATGGCTTCCAGCTTCATCCATATCCCTGCAAAGGAAATGAACTCATTTTTTATGACTGCATAGTATTCCATGGTGTACTCATACCACATTTTCATTATCCAGTCTATCATTGATGGGCATTTAGGTTGATTCCATGTCTTTGCTATTGTGAATGGTACTGCAATGAACATACACGTACATGTATCTTTATAATAGAATGATTTATATTCCTTTGGGTATATATCCAGTAATAGGACTGCTCAGTCAAATGGTATTTCTGGTTCTAGATCCTTAAGCAATCACCACACTGTCTTCCACAATGGTTGAACTAATTTACATTCCCACAGACAGTGTAAAAGTATTCCTATTTCTTCACAGCCTCTCCAGCATCAGTTTCCTGACTTTTTAATAATCGCCATTCTGACTGGCATGAGATGGTATCTCAATGTGGTTTTGATTTGCATTTCTCTGATGAATAGTGAAGTTGACCTTTTTTTATATGTTTGTTGGCCGTATGAATGTCTTCTTTTGAGAAGTGTCTGTTCGTGTCCTTTGCCCACTTTTTGATGGGGTTGTTTGTTTTTTTCTTGTAAAAGACATGTATAATACATTTTAAAGTAACTAAATGAAGTGTTTATGACTTCCAAACAAAAAAAAGGGAATGTAAATAATAACAAAAATTACTTAATACATTAAAAATGAAGCATTTAAAGACAGAAAAAGAAAGTAGAAAAGATAAGGCATTAAAAGCACAACATAAGACTGTAGATTTAAATAGCAAATGTATCATTAATCACATTAAACATAAATGGACAAAATGCTATCATTTAAAAAAATTGTCACACTGGAAAAAAAAGAAAGCTCAAATTAATATTAACTGCAAATAACAGATTTAAAACATAAAGATACAAAAATGCTAAAATAAAGAGACAAAAAGACCATTAAAGCAGGAAATAAAATAAAGCAGATTTGGCTATAAAAACATCAGCCAAATATAAATGATAGGGCAAAAAGATGACTAGAAACAGAGATCAAAATATTATGATAAAACATTTATTTCATCAGGATGAAATAAAAGTTATCTGTGAGTGTACACCTAATACCATAAAGCAAAACTTGATAGTGCAAATTCACAATCATAATAGAAGACTTTAACAAACTTCTCTGTTTGTTACAGAGATAGAGAGACAAAAAAATCATTAAGAATATAGATTTAAATAACACAATTAGCAAACTTAATGCAGATATGTTTCTATCTATGCATACAAAACTGCAGAGTGCTCATTTTTTTCAAGAATATATTAAATACTTGGAAATAAAAAGACCGCATTTGTGGCCCCAAAGCTAACATTAACACATATAAAAGAACTAAAATAATACAAAATACATTCTCATGTCACAATGCAAGTGTGCTTGAAACCAATAACAAACAAAAAAATTTCCATATGTATGGAAATTAAGAATATACCTTTAAATACTTAAATAGCAGAAGATAGATAATGAAAAAAGTTTTAACTGAATGGTAATAAAGTTAACAAATATCAGAACTTGTGAAATGCAGCTGATGCAGAACATGATAAAAATAAAGAGCCTTACAATTTTATGTTAGAAAAAATATGGAGATTAATTAGCTAATAATATTTCCTAAGAAAATAAGTTATTGATATTAAAATAAACCCAAATATATAGAAAGGAAAATAAGATAAATGCAGAAATTAATGAAAAAACAATGTTACAATAGGGAAAAACAATGAAGGTAAAAATTAGTTTGCTCTAAGGTAAATAATAAACACACTTCTCACAAATGAGCAAGAATAAAAGAAAATAAGAACAGTTAACCAGCATCTGGAATAAAGCAGTGGCAAAATCACAATTTCTGCAGTAATTATAAAGATAAGAGATTATAACTGATAAATGTATGACACACCAGATTGAAAATCTAGTTGAACATATTTCTAGAAGCAGACATTACCAAAACTACCCAAAAGAGGAACAGAAAGACTGAATTTTTCTATAACTGATTGAAAATTGAATTCATAAGCAAAAGCTATCCACTACGGAAATGGAAATTCATAACCAGGTTACTTCACTGCTGAATTCTACTGAACATTCAAAGAGGAAGAAACTTTAATCGTACATAAGTTCTCCCAAAGAATAGAGAAAGCAGAAATGTTTCACAATTCATTTTATGAGGCTCACATATTCTTAATATCAAAACCACACAAAGCAGACGGTGACATCAAAAAGATAGCAGAATAGGAAGTCCCACAGAAGCAACAATTGAACAATTATATATAGACCAAAATACTTTTATGATATTTCCAAACTCCAGATAGGAATTTGCTGTACCCCAGGTAAGCATAGAGCTGAGAACAGGCACATTGAAATGGGAAAGAAGAGCAATTAAGATTTACCAACATTAGGCACTTCCCAAGACAGCACAGGTTGTTCCAGAGAAAAAAATGTCTCAGCTCGTTATTTCTCCCTAGAGGAAGGGAGAGGGAGAAAAAAGTGGAAAATGTATACAAATTTTTGGCTTTTCTGCAGCCTTCCTGAAAGAATGACTTTTCATTTCACTCAGAGTGCTGATGGGCTTGGCATAGTTTGGATGCCTAGGGGCTACTAAAAGCAAAGATGAGCAGGAGGGGCAGCTTACTGAGGCCAGCACAGATTGGCAAAATCAAGAGAAGGTGCAAAATCTGAGGCTCCTCCCATGAAAGGGAGGGAGAAGACTGAAATTTTTATCCACTGTTTCATAGTTTTAAAGGGCTGCCTAAGGGATTAGCATCTGTCTCATTTTACTTGAGACACTGATAAAGAGCTGACATAATTTGGGTGCCTAGTGGATGATAAGAACAAAAGAGGATGTGTAATGCCATTACAGAAGCAGACAACTTGGAGTGCCACAAACAGACACCAGAGGGAGCAAGAAATTACCAGCTATGAGCCCAAGCAATTGAGAAATTGCATGCCCATACCCAGAGAAGTGACATCCCTCCAAAACTGGTTTCAGAGGCCCTCAGAATCTAAAGATAGGCTAATTGGTGAGGGTCCCTCCTGGTATGAAGCCAGTCCCTAAGTACTGGGAAAGGTGACTTTTTTTCTAATGTGCAGAACCGAGTACAAAGTTGTGAGACACACAAAGAAGCCAGGAAACATGGCTTTAAAAAATGATGCACAATACTTGATAGGTAGTTTTTCTACCCTCACTCACCTCCCACCCTTCTTCCTCTAGTAGTCCCCTGTGTTTACTGTTTCCATTTTTATGTCAACTTGGACACAATGTTTAGCTTCCACTTATAGGTGAGAACATGGTTTTCTGTTTCTGTGCTATTTGCTTCAGATAATGACCTCCAGCTGCATCCATATTGCTGCAAAGTACATAATTTTATTTTTTATGGCTGCATAGTATTCCATGCTATATATGTACCACATTTTCTTTATCCAGTCTGCCCTTGAAGGTAATCGTTGAAGTTGATTCCATGTCGTTGTTATTGTGACTAGTGCTGTGATAAACATACTAGTGCATATATCTTTTTGGTAGAATGATTTATATTCCTTTGAGTACCTACCCAATAATGAGATTGTAAGGTCAAGGGGTAGTTCTGTTTTACATTCTTTGACACATCACCAAACTACTTTCTACAGTGGCTGAACTAATTTACATTCCCACCAACAGGGAGAAAGAGTTCCCTTTTCTCTGCAACCTCACCAACATCTGTTATTTTTTGTCTTTTTAATAATGACCATTCCAACTGGTATGAGATGGTAACTTGTTGTGGTTTTGGTTTGCATTTCTCTAATGATTAATGATGTTGAGCATTTTGTCATCTGTTTCTTGGCCACTTGTATGTCTTCTTTTGCAAAGTGTCTATTCATGTCACTACCTGGGTGAGAGGATTATTTGTAAACTAAACCTCAATGACACACAATTTACCAACATAGCAAACCTGCACATGTACTCTCTGAATCTAAAATAAAAGTTGAAAAAAAATTGTTTTAAAGTGGCTTAAAAAATCAACCCTGAATGAAAATTATAGCAATCTCTGAAATTATGTTAAAATGTATTTCACTTTATGTGTGCATTATCAACCTGAGAGGGTGGCTAAGAATATCTAAATTGTATGTTTATATGAGAAACATAAGAATTAACAACAAATATAAATAATTATTGATTCTTGCTTAAGAATCTGTGTTGCCAGTCCAAAATTCTTTAGGAATCACAAATATTAAATGAATGTACTATACAAAAAATACAAAAGTAGAAGAGCATAGGTAATCATGAAATCATATTTAGAATTAGAATTAGAATTAATTGGAACTTGCAATTAAATACAACTAACACTTTTAAACTTTGAAAAAAATGGAACAATATAAATCTCCAGAAATTGATCTTTAAAAAATGGAGATATACAACTTACCTGAAACAAGTTCAAAACAATCATAATAAAGATGCTCTGTGAGCTCAAGAAAACCATTCATGAAGAAAATAAGAATACAAACAAAGAGATAGAACATATTTTTTAAAAAGCAAACAAATTTTAGAGTTAAAGAGTACAAAAAACTGAACTGGACCATTCAGAAGAAGAACCCAACAGCAGGCAAGATCAAACAGAAGTAAGAATTAGCAAAATCAAAAATCAGTCATTTGAAATTATGCAGTCATAAGAACGAAAATAAAATAAAATGAAATATAGGGAAAAACGCTAAGGAACTTATGGAAGACAATCAAGAGGAACAAATTAAGAATTAAGAAAGTTCTAGAAAGAAAAATGAGAGAAAAGAAGGAAAAAGCTTATTCCAAGAAATAGTAGTCCTAAGCTTCCTAAATCTGGGAAAGAAAATGGACATACATATTAAAGAAGTCCAACAAACTCTAACTAGAGTGAATCCAAAGAAATCCACACCAAGATAATCAAATTGTCAAAAGTAAGACAGCATTTTTTTTATAATAGCAAGAGAAAAGTCTTGACACATACAAAATAACTACAATAAGACTATAAGTGGATTTCTCAGCAGGGACATTTCAGAACAGAAGAAAGCGGAATGATATATTCAAAGTGCTGAAAGTTAAAAACAAACTGCCCACCAAAAAATACTCTATTAGGGAAACTATCCTTTAACAATGATGGAGAAATACTTGCTATAACAAAGAAAAGCTGAAGGAGTTCACCAACACTACACTTGCCTTACAAGAAATGCCAAGAGGAGTCATTCAAGGTGAAATAAAAACATTCTAAACAGCAACACAAAAACATATAAAAGTATAAAACTCATTCGTAAAAGTAAATATATAGAAAAATGAAGAATGCTCTAATACTATAATGGTGATAAACAAATCCTGTTTTAATTCTGCTATAGAAGATAAAAGACAAAAGTTCAAAAATAAATGTTACTGTAAAAATGTCAGTGGAAACAAAATATAAAAATGCAATTTTTGACATTAATAGCATAAAGTGTGGGGTAGAAGTAAAGGTGTACACTATTTGCATGCAATTGAAGTTAAGTTGTCATCTGCTTAAGATAGGTTGTTATAACTATAAGGTGTTTTATGTATGACCCATGGTAAGCACTAAGGACAGATCAATAGAATATACACAAGAGAAAATGAGGAAGGAACCAAAACATGTAATCACAAAAAAATCAACACTGTACAAAGGAATACAACAGGAGAGGAAAAGAGAGAAAAATAGCTACAACAGAGACAATGAAAAATTAATAAAAATGTCAATAGCAAGTCCCTCATTATCAAGAATTACTGTAACAAAATGGATTAAAATCCCCAATTAAATAATAAAGTGGCTGAATGGATTTTTTCAAAGTTATAACTATAAACCAAGCATCACTAATGCAAAAACCCAAAATTTTAAATGCTACAGATACCAACACTTTTTGAGTGCTAATATGATGCTCAAAGGAAATGCTCCTTGCATCATTTCAGATTTTGAATTTTTGAATTAGGCATGTCTAACCAGTAATAGCAATGCAAATATTTCAATATCCCAAAACATCCAAAATCTAAAAACACTTCTTGTCCCAAACATTTTTAATAAAAGATACACAACCTCTATATTATATTTATAAGAGATTTGTGTTAGATTTAATAACACACATAGGCTGAAAGTGAAAAGATGGGAAAATATATCCCATGCAAGTGCTAACAAAAGAGAGCAGGTTGGACATAATTATATCAGAAAAAAATAGATTTTAAGTCAAAAATTGTCAAAAGAGATAAAGAGACCATTATACATTGATGAAAGTGTCAGTTCACCAGGAATATATAGCAATTATAAAAACATAGGTACAAGATGCCCTGCCCCAGCAGATATGCAAGCACCCCACAGCACTGCCATGTCTGCTGGCATGTGCAGGCGAGCATGGTTCCCACTGCCACTGCCATGACGAAGTGCTTTGGCTGGCACCACCTATTAAAATGTTGTCAGCAGACCAGAAACACCTCAGCTGCTCCAGCACAACAGGTTCCTAACCTGAGAGGCCAGAGGAAAAAAGCCAAAGGCCTCGTTCAAGTCCCCCAAAGTTAGAGAACACAGCTCTGGAGTGCTGAATTGAGCCTTGGTCCCCTAAAATCTCCCAGAAATAAAACCATTTAACTGAACCCAACTTATACCACAATTAAACCCCAAAAGACATCAAAGAAGGTAAAAGCAAAAAGTTCCATCCAAAGGAGAGTAATTTCAAATATTGAAGGAACATTAGCCTGTAGATATGAGAAAGAATCTTCACAAGAACTCCAGCAACTCAAAAAGCCAGATTCCCTTCTTACCTTAGAACAACCATAATGCTTTCCCATCAATGGATCTTAATCAGACTGAAATGGCTGAAATGACAGACATAGAATTTGGAATATGGATAGAAATGAAGATCACTGAGATTCAGGAGAAAGTGAAAACCCAATTCAAGGAATCTAAGGAATACAATAAAATGATACAGGAGCTAAAAGAGGAAATAGTCATTTTAAGATAAAATCAAACTGATCTGATAGAACTGAAAAACTAACTTCAAGAATTTCATAATATAATTGCCAATATTAACAGCAGAATCAACCAAGCTGAGGAAAGAATCTCGGAGCTCGAAAATTGGCCTTCTGAAATAAGTCATTCAAAAAAAAAATAAAGAAAAAGCAATAAAGAAAAACACAACTTTTGAGCAATATGAATTTATGTAAAGATGACAAATCTATGACTCATTGACATCCTTGAAAGAGAGGGAGAGAAAGCAAGCAACTCAAAAAACATATTTGAGGATATTACCCATAAAGATTTCCCCAACCTCGCTAGAGAGACCAACATTCAAATTCAGGAAATACAGAGAACCCCAGGGAGAGATGACCATCCCCAAGACACATAGTCATCAGATTCTCCAAGGTTGAAATGAAAGAAAAAAAGGTAAAGGCCTCTGGAGAGAAGGGTTTGGACACCTACAATGGGAACCTCAGCAGGCTAACAGTGGAACTTTCAGCACAAGCCCTACAAGCCAGAATATATTGGAGGCCTAGGTTCAGCATTCTTAAAGAAATTCCAACCAAGAATTTCATATCCAGTCAAACCAAGCTTTCATAAGCAAAGGAAAACTAAGATCCTTTTCAGATAAGCAAATCCTATGGAAATTTATTACCACCAGCCCTGTCTTTAAGTGAATGCTAAATATGAACAGAAAAGACCATTACTGGATGCCACAAAAACACACTTAAGACCTTAACCACATACACAATTGATAATATAAAGCAACTTCACAATGAAGTCTACATGATAACCAGCTAAAAACACATTGACTGGATCAAATCTGCAAATATTGATATTAACTTTGAAGGTAAATGGGACAAATGCCCAAATTAAAAGGCACAGAGTAGCAAGCTGGCTAAAAATGCAAGACTGAATGAACTGTATGAGATCTTCAAGAAACCCATCTCACATACAATGACATTCATAGTCTCAAAATATAGAGATGGAGAGAAATGAACCAAGCAAACAGAAAACAGAAAAAGAAAACAGGGTTGTAGTTTTAATTTCAGACAAAACAGAGTTTAAACAAACAAATATCAAAAAGACAAATAAGGACTTTACACAATTGTAAAGGGTTCAATTCGACAGAAAAACCTAAGTATCTTAAATATGTGTGCACTCAACCCAGGAGCATCCAGATTCATAAAGCAAGCCTTACAGACCTATGAAGAGACTTAGATAACTACACAAAAATAGTGGGAAACATAAACATCTCATTGACAGTATAAGACAGATCATCGAGGCAGAAAACTAACAAAAATATTTGGGAACTGAACTTTATGCTTGACCAAATGGGCCTGACAGACATCTATAGAACAGAAAACCATACGATTCCATGGAAATTAAACAACCTATTCCAGAATGACTTTGGGGTGAACAACAAAATTAAATAAAAAAACAAAAAAATCTTTCAAGCTAATTTGAATGAAGCTACATCATACAAGAATCTCTAGAACATAGTTACAGCAGTTTTAGGAGAAAAGCTTATAGTGCTAAATACCCACATTTAGAAAGACTTCAAGTTAACAATGTAACATTACACCTAGAGGAACTAGAAAAACAAGAGCAAACCAACCCCGAAGCTAGCAGAAGACAAAAAATAACCAAAATCAGAACTGAACTATACAAAAAAAATCAATGAACCCAGGAGCTGATTCTTAGAAAGAATAAATAAGATTGATAGATCACAGGCTGATCCAAATTAACACAATCAGAAATGGCAAAGGGGACTTTACTACTGATGCCACAGAAATACCAAAAACCCTCAGGACTACTACAAACACCTCTATGAACACAACCTGGAAAACCTAGAAAAATGGACAAATGCCTGGAAATGTACAACTTTCCAAGATTGAATCAGAAAGAAACTGAATCCTTGAAAAGACCAATAATGCATTCCAAAGTTGAATTAGTAAGAAAAAGCCTACCAACTAAAAGGACCAGACAGATTCACAGATGAATTCTGCTAGGTGTATAAGGAAGAGTTAGTACCATTTTTACTGAAAATATTCCCCCCAAAAATGAGAAAGAGGGACTCCCTAATTTATTCTATGAGGGCAGCATCATTCTGATAAACCTGGCAGAAACACAATAAAAAAAGAGAAAACTTTAGGCCAAAATCCTTGATGAATATGGATTTAAAACCTCAAAAAATACTAGCAAACTGAATCCAACAGCCCACCAAAAAGCTAATCCACCATGATCAAGTAGGCTTTATCTCTGTGACATAAGGTTGGTTCAATATACACAAATCAGTAAATGAAATTCATCACATAAGCAGAACTAAAAACAAAAAAAAAGATCATCTCAACAGAGGCAGAAACAGCTTTCTATAATATTCAACATTCCTTCATATTAAAAAACTTGCAACAATCTAGGTATTGAAGGAACATACCTCAAAATAATAAAAGCCATCTCTGACAAACCCACAGCCAACATTATACTGAATAAGCAGAAGCCGATGCATTCCTGTTGAGAACCAGAACAAGACAAGAATTCCCACTCTGACCACTCCTATTCAAGGTAGTATTGGAAGACCAAACCAGAGCAATTGGGCAAGAGAAAGAAATAAAAGCTATCTAAATAGGATGTCAAACTATTTGTTTGCAGACAACATGATTCTTCACCTAGAAAATACCATAGTCTCTGCCAAAAGCTCCTAGATCTGATAAACCACTTCAACAAAGTTTCAGTACACAAAACCAATGCTCAAAAGTAAGTAATATTTCTGTAAACACACCACAACAAAGCTGAGAGCCAAATCAAGAAAACAATCCTATTCACAATAGACACAAAAAGCATAAAATACCTATGTATATAGCTAACCAGGGAGGGAAAAGATATCTACGATGAGAATTACAAAACATTGCTGAAACAAATCAGAGAATTCACAAACAAGTGGAAAAACATTACATGCTTATGAAGAGAAAGCATCAGTATCGTTAAAAATGGATATACTGCCAAAAGCAATTTACAAATTCAAAGCTATTTCTATCAAACTATCAATGGTATTTCCTAAATCATTAGAAAAAAAACTGTTTTTATGTACACAGGGAACCAAAAAAAGAGCCTGAATAGCCAAATCAGTCCTAAGCAAAAAGAACAAACTGGAAGCATCACATTACCTAACTTCGAACTATATTACATTACCTAACTTCAAACTATATTACAGGGGTATAGTAATCAAAACTGCATGGTACTGGTACAAAAACAGACACATAGGCCAATGGAACGGAAAATAGTCCAGAAATAAAGCCAGACACCTACAACCATATGATCTTTGACAAAGTCAATAAAATAAGCAATGAGGAAAGAACTCCCTATTCAATAAATGGTGCTGGAATAACTGGCTAGCCATTTGCAGAAGATGGAAGGGAGTAGACCACTTACTTACATCATATAAAAATACCAACTCCAGATGGATTAAAGACTTAAATGTAAAACCTACAACTATAAAAATCCTTGAAGAAAACCTAGGAAATACAATTCTGGACATAAGCTCTGGAAAAGATTTCATGGAGAAAAAGCCAAAAGCAATTACAATGAAAACAAAAATTGGCAAATGGGACCTGTTTAAACTAAAGAGATTCTGTACAGCAAAAGAAACTATCAACAGAGTAAACAGATAAATTAGAGAATGTTTGGAAACCATGCATCTGACAAAGAAATAAGAAATAAGAAATCTGAATAAAGAAATCTGAATAAGAAAATGTTTGGAAACCATGCATCTGACAAAAGTCTAATATCCAGAATCTAGAAGAAATTTAAATTAACAAGTATAATAATAAACAATGCCGCTGAACAGTGGGCAATGGACTTGAACAGATAATCTTCAAAAGAAGACATACAGTGGTCAATAAGCATACGAACAAAAATGCTCAAAATCACTAATCATTAGAGAAATGCAAATAAAAGCCACAATGAGATACCATTCCACACCAGTCAGAATGGCTATTACTAAATGTTAAAAAATAACAGATGCTGACAAGGTTGCAGAGAAAATGGAATGATTATAGTTTGCTAGTGGGAATGTAAATTATTTCAGCCATTGTGGAACACAGTTTGGTGATTTCTCAAAGCTTAAAATAGAACTACCATTTGACCCAGCAATCTTATTATCGGTTATATACACAAAGGAATATAAATCGTTCTATCATAAGTACACATGCACACACATGTTCATCGCAGCACTATTCACAACAGCAAAGACATGAAATCAACCAAAATGCCCATCAATGGTAGAGTGGATAAAGAAAATGTGGTACACATATACCATGGAATACTCTTCAGCCATAAAGAAGGATGAGATAATGCCCTTTTCAGCAACATGGATGGAGCTGGAGGCCACTATGCTTAGCAAACTAGCACATGTTCTCACTTATAAGTGGGCACTAAACACTGTGTACACATGAACGCAAAGAAGGAAACAACAGACACTGGAGCCTATTTGAGGGTGGACAAAGGGAGGAGGATGAGGATTGAAAAACTATCATTTTATTATATCCTATGCTTATTACCTGGATGATTAAATAATCTGTATCACCAACCCCTGTGATACACAATCTACCTATATAATAAAACTACACATGTACCCTTGAACCTAAAATAAACACATATGCACACGCACACCAGATGTCGGGAGACCCCAAAATATAAAGCAAATATTGAAAGAACTGAAGGGAGAAATAGGCAACAGAATATCAGTAGGAATAATAGTAGGGGATTTCAATATTCCACTTTCAATCCCAGGTTGAACATCTACGCAGAAGATGAATACAAAAACAGAGTATGTGGCTGGGTTCAGTGGCTCACTCCTGTAATCCCAGCACTTTGGGAGGCTGAGGTGGGCAGATTGCTTAAGGTTAGGAGTCCGAGACCAACCTGGGCAACATGGCAAACCTTGTCTCTACAAAAAATACAAAAATTATCTAGGCGTGGTGGCTTGTGCCTGTATTCCCAGTCACTTGGGAGGCTGAGGTGGAAGGATCACTTGAGCTCAGGAGGTAGAGGTTGGAAAAAGCTGAGATCACGCCACTGTATTCCAGCCTGGGCGACAGAGGGACACCCTGTCTCAAAAACAAGCAAGCAAACAAACAAACAAACAAAAAAGAGGATGTAAACAACACTATGGATCAAATAGATCTAAAAGACATATACAGAACATTCCACCCAAAAGCAACATCATAAACATTCTTCTCAAGTGCATAAGAAACATTCTCCAAGATAGGTCACATCTTATGCCACAAAACAAATTTAAGAAGATTGACATCATACCAGGTGTATTTTTTAACCATGACAGAATAAAAGTGGCTGAAGAAAATAGCAAAATTTACAAATATGTGGAAGTTACACAATATACTTATGCATAGCCAAATAACTAAAAACAAAAAGTAAAAGAAAAAATAGAAAATGTATTGACACAAATTAAATACAAAACACTGTCATTTGCCAAAACTTATAGGATGTTTGCCAAAACTTATATGATATTACTATAGCAGTATTAACATAAAACTTTATTTTGATAAGTGCCTATATTAGAAAGAAGAAACATCTCTTAACAATCTAAGTTTATGCCCATAGGAACTAGAAAATGAAAAACAAACTCTGCTTAGAGTTAGCAAAAGAAATAAAATGAAATTGCAGCAGAAATAAATGAAACAGAGAAGAGAAAATAACCAATGAAACTAGGGATTGATTTTTTTAGAAGACCAATAAGGTTGAAAAACATGTAGTTAGATTAACAGAGAAAAAAGGGAGAAAGTGCAATTAAATAAAATTAGAAATTAAAGATACATTGCAACTGATGCCATAAAAATAAACAGGATTACAAGAGACTACTATGAACAAAGTACACACCAACAAAATGGATAACCTAGAAAAAAAATGGATCAACTCCTATAAACATACTTGTTTTACTTGTTTTTTTTTCTGACATTAGAGGAAAATATTTCAGCTTTTCATCATTAAATATGATGTGATGTTATTAGTCAGTTTTCATGCTCCTGATAAAGACATACACCAAACAGTAATTTATAAAGAAAAAGAGGTTTAATGGACTCACAGTTCCACGTGGCTAGGGAGGCTTCACAATCATGACAGAAGGTGAAAGGCGTATCTTACATGGCAGCAGGCAAGAGAACGAGATCCAAGCAAAAAAGGGTTTCCCCTTATAAAACTATCAGATATCACAAGACTTATTCACTACCACGAGAACGGTATGGGGGAAACTGCCCCCGTGATTCAATTATCTCCCACTGGGTCCCTCTCATAACACGTGGGAATTATAGACGGCACTATGAGTAGAAAACACAAACAGACCTATAAATAATGAACTTGAATCAGTAATCAAAACCTCACAACAAAGAAAAACCCAAGTCCAGGTTTTTTCACTCATTAATTTTACCATTTGAAGAATAATTAATGCCAATTCTTCTCAAACTCTTTCAAAAAATTGAAGAGCAGGAGCATTTTCAAGCTCATTACATGAGGTTTGCCAGAAAAAGACACTACAAAGGAAGAAAACAACAGGTCAATATCCCTAATGTATATACATACAAAAATCGTCAATAAAATACTAGCAAACTAAACATAACAGCACATCAAAATGATCATTCACCATCAACAATTTGAATTTATCCCTGTTGAACCATGCAATGTAAAAAAAAAAATAGTATAGTGTTTGTCAGGGACTGTAGAAAAAAAGAAATGAGGAGTTGCCGTTCAATGAATATAGAGTTTTAGACGTGCAACATGTGAAAGTTCTGGAGATCATCTGTACAACATTGTTCCTATAGTTAACAATATTGTGCTGTACATTAAAAATGTATTAACATTATAGATCTCATGTTATATGCTTTTTACCACAAAAACAAATACAAAGAAGAAAGAAAAAACACCAGCCAATCTCATATATAAAAGTATATGAAAATATCCTAAACAAGAACTTAAACGGTTTTAAAATGTCAGCTTTATTATAAGCAAGCTGGCTTCACTCTTCACCACCAACAGAAGACAAAAAACAATACAGCACCAAGTTTTTCAACAGAAACAACCCAGAACTCAAATATAAGGATGAGACAGATCCCAGGGCTGCAGAGAAGTGGAAAACCCCTGAGCAGATGGTAGGAGAATTAGACTTCCACATCTGCAGTGCTCCTACTCTTGTATTCTGCTTGGCAACAAGTGTATGAAAATTATTTCCCCAATTCGCAGTTTCTACACTGGAGAAAGTGAGATTGAGGTGGTAAACAAGCTCTGTCACCAGTCTGGGTTCCCTGGCAGGAGATCTGTTCTTGCCTTAACCTACAGGAAGCATTGTAACCGCCTGAAGGAAGAAATATCCCTGAGGACAAGCAGAAACAAAATGGGGAGTGGGAGTACCATCCCCAGTCCTGGAAACACTTCTGTGTAACTCAGCCAAAGGATACATCAAATTAGAGTGACTGTTCAACAGCACCAAGCTGTATAAGGTACATTTCACTAGTCTCTTGGGTGCAAACCCTTCCTTAGCCCGCCTTCCCACACGGCTTGTATAATCCCATTAGATCTCTCCTATTCTGGACAGGCAGCACTTCTATTATTTACTAGAGCCAAAGTGAAACTGGGCTTAAGGTGTGACCTAAAGGTGAAAAGGACAAAGCAACTGAGCAGTAAATATTTACTAAGCACATATTGCCAATTTTTTTTGTAAAATCTGTACAGAGAAAACTGACATAAATAACCAATTAATCATTTAATGAAAAGATATAGACATATACCTACAAGAAACAACCACGAACAGGAAACCTGACTGCCACAAAGGGACAAAGCAAAAATCCAGTTACTTACCCCAACTAAACAGCAATTTGTGAGCACTCTGACCAAAAATTCAAAATAGTTTTTTGTTTGTTTGTTTGTTTTGTTTTGTTTGTTTGTTTGTTTGCAGCTGTTGTAAAAGGGGTTGAGTTCTTGACTTGATTCTCGGCTTGGTCGTTGTTGATATACAGCAGTGCTACTGATTTGTGTACGTTGATATTGTATCCCAAAACTTTACTGAATTCACTTATCAGATTGAGGAGTTTTTTAGACGAGTCTTTAAGGTTTTCTAGGTATAGACTCATATCATTGGGAACAGCGACAGTTTGACTTCCTTTTTACCAATTTGGATATCCTTTACATCTTTCTCTTGTCTGATTGCTCTAGCTAGAACTTCGACAGAAGTTGTGAAAATTGGCATCCTTGTCTCGTTCCAGTTCTCAGGGAAAATGCTTACAACTTTTCCCTGATCAGTATAATGTTGGCTGTGGATTTGTCATAGATGGCTTTTATTATCTTGAGGTATGCTCCTTTGATGCCAATTTTGCTGAGGGGTTTAATCATAAAGGGATGTTGGATCTTGTCAAATGTTTTTTCTGTGTCTACTAACATGACCATATGATTTTGTTTTTAATTCTGTTTATGTGGCATATCACATTTATTGACTTGTATGTGTTAAACAATCCCTGCATCCCTGGTAAGAAACCCACTTGATCATGGTGGATAATTTTTTTATATGCTTTTGGATTCAGTTAGCTAATGTTTTGTTGAGGAATTTTGCATCTAAGTTCTTCAGAGATACTGGTCTGTAGTTTTCTTTTTTTGTTATGTCCTTTCCTGGTTTGGGTATTAGGGTGATACTGGCTTCATAGAATGATTTAAGGAGGATTCCTTCTTTCTCTATCTTTTGGAATAGTTTAATCAGGACTGATACCAATTCTCCTTTGAATGTTTGGCAGAATTCAGCTGTGAATCTGTCTGGTCCTGGATTTTTTTGGCCATTTTTTAATTACCATTTCAATCTCGCTTTTTGTTATTGGTCTGTTCAGAGTTTCTATTTTTTCCTGGTTTAATCTGGAAAGATATATTTCAAGGAATTTATCTATCCCCTAGTTTGTGTATGTACAGGTGTTCATAGTAGCCTTTAATAATCCTTTTTATTTATGTGATATCAGTTGTAATATCTCCCATTTCATTTCTAATTGAGCTTATTTGGATCTTCTTTCTTCATTTCTTGGTTAATTTCACTAATGGTCTATCAATTTTGTTTATCTTTTCAAAGGATCAGCTTTTGTTTTATTCATCTTTTGTATTTTTTGTCTCAATTGCATTTAATTCTGCTCTGATCTTAGTTATTTCCTTTCTTCTGCTGGGTTTGGGTTTGGTTTTTTTCTTGTTTCTCTAGTTCCTTGAGGTGTGAACTTAGATTGCCTATTTGTGCTTTTTCAGACTTTTGGATGTAGGGGTTTAATGCTATGAACTTTTTTCTTAGCACAACTTTTGCTGTACCCCGGAAGTTTTCATAGGTTGTGTCACTACTATCGTTCAGTTCAAATAATTTTTTAAATTTTCATTTTTATTTCATTGCTGACCCAAAGATCATTCAGGAGGAGATTATTTAATTTCCATGTGTTTGTGGAGGTATGAGGGTTTTCTGGGGTTTTAAGCAAACAGCAACAATTTAACTTTCTTTTTATCAATTTGGATGCCTTTACTGTTTTGTGAAGAACAATATAATGGATGTTGGGGATTCATGGGGAAGGGTTGAAGATGGTGAGCAATAAAAGACTACACACTGAGTACAGTGTACACTGCTTGGGTGATAGGTGCAACAAAATCTCAGAAGTCACCAATAAAGAACTTATCCATGTAACCAAAAACCACTTGTTCCCAAAAACTATTGAAACAAAAAATAAATTAAAAAATAAACCCTCCCCCAAAAATAGGATTTTTAATGAAACTCAGTGGTCTTCAACACAGAAAACCAACTCAGAAATTTATTAGATAAATTTACCAAAAAGGTTGAAATAATTTAAAAAATCAAATGTAGAAGTCTTAGAGCTGAGAAATATATTTGCTAAACTGAAAAACAAGTTAGAGGCTACATACAGGAGAATATATCAAGCAGAGGAAAAAATTCAGGGACCTCAAAGGCCATCTATTTGACAATGAACCGTGAGAGGGAAAAAAAATAACGAAAAAAAAAAAAAACGAAGATGCCTACAAGATATATTAATAGAAAATACTTCAAAAAACCATATCTAAGAATTGGTGTTAAAGAGGAAGCTGAGCAAGATGCAGGGATAGAACGCTTAATAAAAGAAATAATAACCGAAAACTATTCAAAACTTGAAAAAATATAAATATTCAGATGTAGGAAAGTCTGAGAACACCAAATAGATTCAACCTAAGTAAGACAACCCCCAGGTATATAATAATCAGACTTTCAAGGGGCAAGAACAAATAGAGGATCCTAAAAGCAGCAAGAGAAAAGAAGCAAATAACATGTTAAGTAGTTCCAATTCATCTGGCAACAGCCTTTTCAAGGAAAATCATACAGGCCAGTAGGGAGTTGTATGATGTTTCATTTTCAAGGTGCTTAAAGAAAAAACACACTATCCAAGAGTAATGTACTAAACAAAATTACCCTTCAAATATGAAGAAGAGATAAAGTCTTTCACAGAAAATGATATCTAAGTACCTAAGATATTTCACCACCACCAGACCCATCTTACATGAAATGCTAAAGGGAGCTCTTCAATCTAACAAAAAACAAAACTCCTATGTGCAAAAAAAGAAAGACAGAAAAAACATTTGAAGGCATAAAACCCACTGGTAAAATTAAGTACTTGAACAAGCCAATAATACTCTATTACTATAGAGTATTGTGCAGTCCACTCGTAACTCTATTATGAAGTCCAAAAGAGAAATCTACCAAAAAAATCATAGCTATGGAAGCCTATTAAGATATAGGTATTGTAAAATACATAAATTGAGACACCTAAAAGTCAAAATATGGACGATATGGAAATAAAGTGTAGAATTTGTTGTGTGTGTTTTGCCTTTGTTTCTATTTCTATATTTGTGACCTAAGATAAGTTTTCATCTCTTTAAAAATACCGTGTTAAATCCATAAACTGTTTTTGTAAACCTCATAGAAACCACAGCACTAAAAGCTATGATAGATTCACTACACATAAGAGCAACAAATTAAAACATATTACCAGAGAAAATTACTTAACTACAAAAGAACATAGTAAGAAAGGAAGAAAGACAGGAGTCCCAAAATAACTGGAAAACAGGCAACAAAATGACAGTAGTAAGTTCTTACTTAGCAATAATAATGCTGAATGTAAACAGTCTCAATTATCCAATTACAAAGCTGAATGGATAAAGAACGACCTGACTATATGCTGCCTTAAAGAAACATACTTCACCTACAAAGGCAAACTTAGACTGAAAGTGAAAGGGTAGAAAAACATATTCCATGCAAGTGGAAACTGAAAAAGAGCCGAAGTGTCTATATTTATATCAGATAAATAGGCTACAAATCCAAGATTGTAGAAAAAGACAAAGAAGGTAACTATATAATAATAAAGGTGTCAATTCAGCAAGATGATATAACAAATATAAATAGCTATGAACCCAATACTGGAGCTCCCCCAAGTATATAAAGCAAACATCAATATATCTAAAGGAAAAGAAAAGTTGCAGTACAATAATAGTAGGCAACTTTAACACTCCAATCTCAGTAATGAACAGATCTTCCAGATAGAAAATCAACAAAGAAACAGAACATTTAAACTACACACACTAGATCTAATAAGGCTAAATGATATTTACAGAGTTTTCACCCAGCTGCCGCGGAATACACATTCTTTTCATCAGTACATGAACATTCTCCAGAATACACCATACCTTAGGCCACAAAACAAGTCTGAATAATTTTTTTTAAAAAATAGAAGTCATATAGGGTATCTTTTCTGACCACAATGAAATAAAACTAGAAATAAATTCCAAGAGAAACAAGAGGAATCTCAAAAAATACACAAACACATGTAAATGATACAACATGCTCTTGAGTTATGAATGAGTCAATGAAGAAAATAAGAAGAAAATTAACATTTTTCAAAACAAATGAAAATGGAAACACTAAAATTTGTGGGATATGGCAAAAGCAGTACTAAGAAGGAAGTTTATAGCAATAAACACCTATGTAAAAAAAGGTAGCAAGACTTCAAATAAACAACCTAATGATGCACCTCAAAAACTAGAAAAGCAAGAACAAAATGACCCCATAATTAGGAGAAGGAAAGTCATGATTAAGACCAGAGAATAAATCAATGAAACGGTGACTAAAACAAAAATATAGATCAATAAAATGAAAAGTTGGTTTTTTTGAAATGATCAACAAAATAAAACAAACCTCTAGCTAGACTATCCAAGCAAAAAGAGAGACGACCCAAATAAATAAAATCACAAACAACAAAAAGGGAGGCATAACAACTGAACTCTTGGAAATACAAAGAATCATTAGAGAATATTTTGAACAACTATATGACAACAAATTGGAAATCCTAGAAAAAAAATGGATAAAGTTCTGGACACATACAAGCTATCAACACTGAACCAGGAAGAAAGAGAAAACCTTGACAAATAACAAGTAATGAGATCGAAGCCATAATAAAAAGTCCCCCATCAAAGAAAAGCTCAGGCCTTCATGGCTTCACTGTTGAAATCTACCAAACATTTAAAGAACTTATGCCAATTCAACTCAAACTCTTTAAAAAAAAAATGGAAGCAGAAGGAATACTTACAGACTCATTCTACAAGGTCAGCATTACCCTGATACTGAAACCAGACAAAGACACAACAACAACAAAAACAATAGGCCAATGTCACTAATGTTGGGAAAGCTGGATAACTATATGTGGAAGAATGAAAATAGGACCCTGTCTCTCACCACACACAGAAATGAAATCATAATTGATTACAGATTTAAATCTAAGACGTGAAACTATGAAACTACTAGACAAAACCTTTGGGGAATTGCTATAGGACATTAGTCAGAGAAAAGATTTTGTGTGTGTGTGTGTTAAGACCTCAAAAACACAGGCAACTAAAGTAAAAAAAATAAGATTGCATTGACCTAAGAAGGTTCTACACAGAAAAGGAAACAATCAACAAAGTAAAGAGATAACTCACAGAGTGGTAGAAAATATTTGCAAACTATTCATTTGATAAGAGATTAATAGCCAGAATATATAAGGAGCTCAAACAACTCAATAGTAGAAAACAAATACTTCAGTTTAAAAATGAGCAAAAGATCTGAACAGACATTTCTCAAAAGAAGACATACAAATGACCATCAGGTATATGAAAAAATGTTCAACATCACTAATCACCAGAGGAATGCAAGTCAAAACCACAATGAGCTATTATCTCACTTCTGTTAAAATGGCTTATATCAAAAATACAGGCAATAACAGATGCTGGTGAGGATGTGGAGAAACGGAAACTCTTATAAACTGTTAGTGGAAATGTAATTTAGTACAACCACTATGGAAAACAGTATGGAAGTTCCTCAAAAAGTGAAACATAGTACTACTGTATGATCCAGCAATTCCAGTACTGGATATATACCCAAAGGAAATCAATATAATGAAGAGATATCTGCACTTCCATCATTATTGCAGCACTATTCACATAGCCAAAATACGAAATCAATCTAAGTACCCATCAGTGGATGAATGGATAAATAAAATTTGGAATATATACACAATGCAATATTATTCATCCATTAAAAATGAAATTATTTTATTTGCAACAACATGGATTAAACTGGAAGCCATTATGTTAAATGAAATAGGCCAAACACAAAGATAAATATCACATGTTCTCACTCCTTTGTGGGAGCAAAAAATGTGGATATCATGAAGACAGAGTAGGTTGGTGGTTACCCGAGACTGGTAAGGGTGGGGAGAGGAGAGATGAAGAAGAAAAAAAGAATGTAAATGTAATTATTACCACTGAACTGTATGCTTAAAATTTTTAAGAGGGTAAATTTCATACGTATATTTTACCTCAAAAAATGGGGGGAGGGGGGAGGGATAGCATTGGGAGATATACCTAATGCTAGATGACGAGTTAATGGGTGCAGCACACCAGCATGGCACATGTATACATATGTAACTAACCTGCACAATGTGCACATGTACCCTAAAACTTAAAGTATAATAAAAACAATTAAATTAAAAAATCCTAAACAAAATATTTGCAAAATAATTTTCACAATATGTAAAAGTAATAATATGTCAGGGCCAAGTTGATTTTATCCAAGGGATTCTGTGTTGATTTAATACTCAGAAACTCACAATATCAGACTAACGAAGAAAATTCATAGGATTATTTAAATATATGGAAATTTTTTTTGTAAAATCAACTTTCTTTAATGATAAAGCTTTCCGGAAAACAAGGAATAAAAAGAAACCTCCTTGATTTTTTTTATAAATGTAAAACAGAAAAATCTACCGCAAAATCATACTTAATGATGACATGTTGAATACTTTCAATTTGACATAGGGAACAAGACAAAAACACATTGTTCTAAAGGTCTTAGCCAGTGCAGTAACTCAAGAAAATGGTCCATTTAGCAGAGAAAAGTTAATAATGTGAGTTATATAAATAGGCGTCAGAAGACTGAAAAGGCTGTTGCAAACACTGTGGTAACAAGAGAGCAACTGCAGAAACAGATACCGCCCCTAGACCTAGAGAGACAAAGGAGATAGATTAGAGTTATCAGAACCTAGAAGCTTGGAGAAAAAGACTTGAGAAATCCTCTCTGAGAGGATGCTGCCTGACTAGTGATGGTATTCAGGAGCTTGGAAGGGGATCTCATGGATCAGGGACTCAGACCTCTGAAAATAGGCCACAGGTAATACCTCCAGTTTGTGTTAATACCTCCAAGTATTTATAATGGGGTTGGATCTGGGAGTGTCAGGGAATGCTGGACATTGGAACCAACTGCTATTGAAACCAAATGCCACTGCTGGGGTGAAGAGCCATTGCTGGAGTGAAACAGGGAGCAAGGAAGAAAGAACAAATTCCTTCCCCCTCATCTCCAACCGGAAAATCTCTTCCTAAGGCCCACTATTGAAGAAATATAATGCAGAACCAAGTTGCAAAGAAAAAATGTGCTATGCTGAGCTTCACCTCAGTCCCACGGAGCAGAGAATAGAAGGGTAAATTTAGAGCAGAAAGACAATAGCTTAATAACTGCTGCAAAAGTAAAAGCTAAAATGATTGTATTTTATTTCAACTTTTACTATAATAACAGTTCCAATAATTTCAGCAACACTTATTTCTTGCTTACATGACATGAAGGTTGCGGGTTGATTGCAGTTCTACACAGCTGTGCTTAGCTTCACATGTCTTCTTATTCTTAGCCCCAGGTTAAGCACCAGCCCCATTCGAGTTATGTTCTTCCTCAGACAGGGGACATACAGGTGCAAAAGAATCTAAACCAATCTACAAGATGGCAGTTAAATCCTTTGTTCAAACATGGCACACACTATATTCATTCACATGATATCACCCAAACCATGTTCCATTTCAAATGATCAAGTCATTGATGCAGAAAGTATAGCCCTCCCACAGCTACTGGCGGGTGGAAAGGGATGCACAAGCAAGTCATATGACAATGTTCTGGGTTGTATAATCCTATTGCACAGGAGTAGTGAATAGATGAAAAAATCTAATATTTCATACATATGAAGCAAATAGATAAAACTTATTATTTTAAGTTATATGTTTGTGTTCCTGGAAAATCCAACAAAATCTATATATAAAATATTAAAATTAATTAAAGAACTTGGCAGGTTGAGGGAAACTAAACAACCAATTGCAAAATCGATCATATCTCTATAAAATAGCAACAAATGTTTATAAAGTGATATTTGTAAAAGGGTGCCCTATACAAAACATGACAAAATAATGAACAAGATTTCTATGGAGAGATATAAAACTTCATTAACAGAGAGAGAGAGAGAGAGAGAGAGAGATGTCATGTTTATGGATTGGAAGACCCCGTATGGTCAAAAAATGAATAAATTCAATGAAATCTCCATTAATATCTCAATGGGCTTTTCTCTAAATTGACAAGATTATCTTAACATTTATATGGAAACACAAAAGTCTAAAAGTAGAAAAGATATTCTTGGAGAAAAAAACAAATTTTAGCAAATTTATTTAGGAAATTATAAAATTATAGTAATAAAAACTATGGTCTGGGCACGGTGGCTCATGCCTGTAATCTTAGAACTTTGGGAAGAGGAGGCTGGAAGATAGCTTGAGCTGGAAGATAGCTTGAGTTTAGGAGTTTAAGATCAGCCTGGGCAATACAGCAGAACCTCACCTCTACAAAAAAATACAATTAGCCAGGCATGGTAGTATGCGCCTGTAGTCCAAGCCACTCAGGAGGCAGAGGTGGGGGGAATCTCTTGAGCTCAGGAGGCTGAGGTTACAATGAGCCATGATCGCGCCACTGCACTCCAGCCTGGGTAACACAGCAAGACCCTTTCTCAGGAAAAAAAAAAAAAAAAGAATATGGCAATTGCACAGATTTATATATAGACCAAATGAGAGATAATTGAAAACCTTGAAACAGACAAATGCATGTAGGATCCCTTGATTTATACAACATTAACAAAGTAGATCAGTCTTTTCAATAAATAATGGTGAAACAAGTTGCCCATATAGGTAAAAATAAAATTGGAGCCCTACATCACATGGTCACAAAAATTAATCCAGGTAGATTATAGACCTGTGTTTGAAACACAAAACAACAAAGCTTTCAGATAATAAAATAATATATTATCAGCCAGGCACGGTGGTTTATTCCTGTAATCCCAGCACTTTGGGAGGCCAAAGTGCTTGAGCCTGGGAGGTTGAGGATGCAATGAGCCTAATCATGGCCCTGCATTCCAGCCTGGGTGACAGAGCAAAGCTCTGTCTCAAAAAACAAATATATTTATGCTCTCAGGACAAGAAAATATTTCTTAATTTCATAAGAAGCACTAACTATAAGGGGAAAAATGAATAAATTTGACTTTTTAAATTAAGAATTTATTTTCATTTAAAGAACTATTAAGAAATGTAAAAGGTAAGTCACAGGATGAAAGAATATAGTTGAAAAAATATAACCAACAAAGGGATCCTTCTAAGGACACAGAAAGCATTACTACAAAGATGTAATATGAAAAAGTAAGACAACCCAATATATGTGCAAATGACAGCAGGAATGTCATAAAAAAGGAAAGATAAAATGAAACAATGAGAAATCTCATATTCTGAATGAGTGTGGAATAAAAGGCTGTTAATTGATACGATCAATCATTTTGGAAAAAAATTTGGAGTAATCTAGCAAAATTGGAGATACCTTACAACACAACATTCCAATGTTAGATCTATATGCCTTACAGAAATATAAGTTATGTGTAAAAGACCCATGTGCAAAAATGCTCATAGCAGCATTCCTTAGAGCAAAAACTAGAAGCAACATAAATATCCATCAACAATACAAAGGGATAAATAAATTATAGTGTATTCACGCAATGAAATACTATGCAGAAGTGTTAATGAACTACAACTAATGCTACAATGTGGGTGACACACACTCATATTATATTGATCAAAATCAGCCAGTTATAAAATAGCACATACTGTATGATTTCATTTGAATAACATTCAAAAATAGGCAAAACTGAACTGTTATTTCAGAACACGGGTGGAAAAACTACAAAGCGAACCATGGAAGTCAGAAGAGGGTTACTCTTAGTGGAGGAGAGGGCTACATTTAAGAAAATGTACACAGGTGTTGAGAGTGTTTTATTTCTTTCCCTAAGGAATTACATGGGGGTTGCTTTACAATCATTTCCAAGTTGTACTTTCAGTTTTTTATATATGGTATGTGGGTTATAATTAGCAATACAAATGTAAAGATAAGTTCTCTGATTAGTCAAAATACATTTTTTGAAGCCTTTAGTCAAAAGGATTGGTTTGAATCTGAGTTGTAAAACCTTGAGCACATCTCTTACCTTTTCTGTGCCTTCATTTTCCCACCTGTAAACTGAGGATAATTATATCTATTCACTCCAAAGTGTCAAATGTTCAGTCCAAAGTGTTAAATATGAATGCACACTGTAGACTGTAAAGCACAATGTAGATAGGCTGCTGTTATTGTTTTCTGAGCCTACAGCAGGTTAGAGAAAAAGGGGAAAGAAAATGAGGTCGAGGTTACTACAGGCAGGTATATTCACAGCATCTTTTAACTATGACAGTTGAACTTAAAAAGAAAAAAAACTGGAAAATCAGATAAAGATCTGAAAATGCACAGCTTAGAACAATTTTAGAAATGGGACAAACACAGCTCTTAATAAATTAGCAGGCCAAGGTCATTGACACATGAGAGAAGAGCAAAGACATGAGAATTTCTTGTGATTACCCAGGACCATTAAGAAACATATCAGTTATGTTCACTATAGCTCACTGAAAGAACGAGAGAATGCAATATAAATGTTTCAATCCAAATTGATAAATTTTTAAAGGCTTTTGTGGGCCATTTAGAGGTAAAATTTTTATCTGTCAAATACACATTTACACAGAAAAAGTTATAGCAATAAAAATAATTCCTTCCCTTTTGCTGAAATATCTGCCATGTGTCATGCACAGATCTAAAAGCTATTCAGATTTTTAAAATTTAATTATTAAGATAAACCAGCAAGCTATATTATTTTGTTATCTCCATCTCACAAATTAAAAAAAAAAAACTGAGGTTTAGAGAGTTTTAATGATTTTCTCTTACATTGAAGGAGGAGTAGAGATGAAATTTGAACCCAAATATGATTCATTCCAAATCTTGGACTTCTTCTATCATAAAAGCTCCTGTTTACTACTTAAAAATAATAGATAACGTAGTGGAGCAGGTATTTATATGGTCAGTCACATATCCATTCATTTTACTTTACACAACAATTTAATCACATAAGTTTTTATTAATCATCTTAAAGGCTTCACTTCTTAAACCATTGATTCTTTCACCACTTGTAGATAATGTCATATCATTTTAGTTCATCCACACAAGGCATTTTTTCTGAGTAATTTAGAATCTCAGTTCATCATCTCCATCAGTATCTCAATTAGCCCTTATATGTACTTGTATATATTTCCAGTTTTTGCTAAAACAATTTAAAATTCTATTGGGGTAAAGTTTTAAATTGCTTTTAAAAATACATTTGAGATATTTGGACTACATAATTATCTCACAATTTGAACTTTATTTAGTAAATACTGCTACTTTAAAATAGTGAATAAAAAATAATTTATTTTTTGATGAAACCTAAATTTGTCATTTAAAACATCTCTAAAGACAAAACCTTGAAATTCATTTTCAACAATTTATAATCGGTTAATTAGCATATCTTAGTCTTAGAATAATTTTAGTAAATGTCTTTTAGAGCATCTGAGTACTTAATATCTTAAAAGTCATCTAGTCTAATCATGATTCACCCACTTCTATTTCTATACATGCTTTATAAACCTCCTGCTCTAGTACCTTGACTGGAGGAGATAATGATTCTAGTACATGTAATTTTTATTGCTATCTCTATAATATTTTTACTGCACAACGTCATTGCTGATTAGCAATACAAAATTATAGTTCTGCAATTTTGGCATATTATTGCTTTAAGTAAGAGCTAGCCATTGGCAGTGAACAACTAAATCTCAACAAGGGGGAAATGATAGATTCTACAAAATATAGACCAATTAATGCCCCCCAAAATTCTCAAATTTATTATTAAAAACTTTTGTAAGAACCTAAAAATATCCAAGGATGTTCATTAGAAGCCATTATAGATTCACTAAAAACAAGTCATGTTGAACCAGCCCCATTTCTTTGTCTTATAAAATTCAGGTGGAACTGGTACAGATGTGGCGGCCTTTTAACAATCATTCAAAATTTTATGTTAAGGTCCTGGACTGTATAATCATCTAAAGCAGGGGTACCCAGCCACTGGGCTGGGGACCAGTACTGGTCTGTGCCCTCTTAGGAATCAGGTGGCACAGGAAGAGATGAGCAGCGGGCAAGAGAGGATGGCCACCTGAGCTCCACCTCCTGTCAGATCAGCAGGGGCATTAGATTCTCATAGAAGTGCAAACTCTATTGTGAACTGTACGTGCAAGGGAATCTAGGTTGCACACTCCTTATGAGAATGTAACTAATGCCCGATGATTTGAGGTGGAACTGTTTCATCCTGAAACTGTCCCCAGCACCTGTCTGTGGAAAAATTGTCTTCCTTGAAACTGGTCCCTGGTGCCAAAAAGGTTGGGGATCACTGATCTAAAGTTTCTTTTGACTTTCAAAATCCCATGGGTTTCACGTGGTAAAAATAAAGATACATTTTTGCTGGATGCTAAGGTATTTATAATTTGATATACAAGTTTGTAAACCTGACCAAAATCTCAAGTGGTAAAACTTTGACTCTCTCTTTTGCCTTATGCTTTTCAATATTATTTTCAATGTGGACCAAGATATAGAAGAGTCTTTAATTTGCACATGACACAATCATAGGGATAGCTAATGTGTGAGATTTAAAAAAAAAAATAAGATGTGTGTGTGTGTGTGTGTGTGTCCGTAGACTGAAACTAAGTACCAAAAAAGGTAATAAAACATTTTACAAATATATTTGTGTTCAAATATAAATTACACTGTATTCATAATATTTGAAAAGTCAACAAAAAGGAATGTTTATGTAAATTATGTTACACTTTTAATATGAAATAACATGATATCTTTAAAAAATATTAATAGTAAGAGTTTGCAATGACATAGGGAAATCATGTAATATAATGTCACGTTGAAAAAGAAAACACATGAAATTGCTTATAAAGCAGTATCACAATCATATTTATAGATATTTAAAACCAAAGAAAATAATACAGGGAAAATTACCAAAATGATAAATGTGAATGGTGGGATTGTTATTTTCTACATCAGTATTGGAATCACATTCCCAGTCTTGGCATAGGTAACAAGACCCCTCCCCCAATCCCACCAGCTTAAGAAGACTGTGATTCCAGAGGGAACTCAACAGGTCAAAGACAAAAGTTGAAATGTTTGGAAAAGCTCCACAAGGTTTCCTATATTAGGGAGAAAGATTTGCACCAGAGATGGTTAGATTCCAGAAGAACTGCCAGAAAACAAAGCAAGAAAACAGTATTTTGGGGTGAAGAAGAGGGTGATCATGATGGCAACTGAATGGTAATAGGGGCACTAGTAAAAATAACTTAGGAGTAGGGCAGCAGGGGCTGTTCTCATACATGGTTGTTCAAAAACCCCACGTTGGGAAGAACATGAAGAGTGGATTTGACATTTATTCATTTATTTTGGAGAGGAATTGATATTTAAATAAAAAGTAAGAAAAACTCTCAAATTCTCTCAACAAAATAATGGAACAAGTTTTTTTTTACAATTATTAACACTAATTGAGCATTTCTATATGTCAGGCACTATGATGAACTATTTTATGCGTTATGTCATTTAATTCTCATAACAATTCCATGAGGTAGGGTCTAATGTTACCCTCATTTTCCTAAAGGGAAGTCAGAGTCTCAGAGATGACATGAGATTTAAGGTCATTTAGTCAATAGCAGGGCTCAGCTGACTCAGTTAACCATTATAGTACTCTGTAAAGGCTTTCACATTTAGGCCCGAAGGTTTGTGACAAATAGCATAATAGTTTAGTACACATCAAAATGTTTGCTGGTAAGAAAGGAGTTTCTTTAAATTTCTTTTTGAAATAAACCAAAAATGAGAATATTTATCTTTTTAAAAATCATTTTGTTTATAGATTTGTTGGACATTCCTGCTTTCAGCAGCACCTACCACTATAGGTCTCATTGATTATACATATGTATTAACCAAGGATGGAATCTAGTTCACTTTACAAGCTCTGCAGTTGCTCGCACTGAGAACTAAGGAATTATTTGGCTTTCTCCCATGATTGTTATCTCCCAGTTTGAGGAAACTACAATCAGTCAATTGGTAAAATATTAAAAAGAAACTTTCTACACTCAATACTGTCTAAAAATCATTTTATTCCTTCTATGTCCCTCAATTTTTCACAAAGTATTTTACTGTAAACAAATTTGGGGGCCACTCTGTGATTATTCCCACTTGGAAAAATATACTGTTTTCTCTTCATTGAAACTAGAACAGAAGGTCTAAAAGAAAGAAAATTATTAAGCATTCTACTGAGTTTCCCCCCCTCCACCCCAACAAAAACTAAGATAGAGGTCAATGAATAAGTATGTGCAGACTGGAACTTGAATCCTCTAGGGTGACTGTAGGCTAATTAATAATTAATGCCAGAGCCACGGTGTTTGAAATGCAGATGTGATAACTAGAGGCCTGGCAGAGCTGTTCAGAGGAAGCAGATTTAGATGCTATAGGGAATAGGCACTCCCTTGCCGGCTGGCTCAGAGAGCCAGCCTGGGTGCAAAGCAGGGCCTATGGTTTAGATTATATTCCCCTCAGCTGTTAATTACCTGAACCTACTTTGAAGTTCTTCTCTTTTTATCCTTGCATGAAAAGAGATTGGTTCAGCCAAGGGACTTGAAGAGATGATCAAATACATGGGGTGGAGGGAAGAGGGGTGGGAATAGAACTTCAGATATAAGAAGATAACGAAGAAAAACACATAGTAGAACATGCAAGAACATACATTATTAGGAAATATCGAATTGTGGCTCATTGTCTCAAGCACATTATTTCTCTCAGTTTTTCTAGTTAAGTTGATTTTAAGTAAATTGTAAACTTTCTCTGAATAGTTATAACAACAAATTTCCATCATTGTTACTATATAGAGATTTGATAAGAGACTACCACAGGTGCTTTGTAATGCTATTTTTAACTTAATAAAGTCATTTAACACTCTTTATATTTAAAGCCAAGCAGTGATAAGGATAAAAATTAATAGACTCAGCCTCAAAATGCTTCTATGTACCTTGTTTGTGTTCAAATAATTCATTCTCAGAACACAAATAGTAAGTGCTATTATTCAATGGGAGAAGCTACAGGATATTAGAAAACTGTGGAAATAAAATGCAGTGGAAAAAATATGAAAATATATTGTGGGGGGTAGCTGCATTAAAAAGCACCCTAATTTTTTTTCAGAATGTTTGTGTGTGTATGCACAAAATTTAAAGAAGCATGTCTGTTAACTACCTTGCAAATGGATTACAGCATACCTGGATTAAATGTAAATGCTGACATTTTTTGTCTCTTTGTGCTTTATTTTTTTTAAATGTTATTTTTAGCTATTTTAGGTAGGGATTATCCCTGAGACACATGCTACTCACACATGAACACTGTTCGCTCTTTTAGTGGGAGAGCATGCACTCATGAAATAGCTAACTTTCAATTGTATCTCTGTATCTTTTTGATAGGATAATAGTACTAATATTGCCATCAAGGAAAAATGTGTACCTATATTGAAATTGACACCTATAAGTGCAATATCATCTGACTAAGGTGACATCAAACGCATACAAGCAAATGAGTGACACAACACATAGACCTCCCGTGTTCAGCGTAGACACAACACATAGACCTCCATGCAGTGATTTTGTTGGGGGGGGGTCCTAATTTATTTACAGTTCATTTCTGTTTAAAAGAATACTTTTATGAGCAGAATTGTTACATTTTTTCAGAATAAAAAGCTAGAAACTTGCTCATTTGAATCTATTATTCAAAATGACAAATTCCAAAAAAATAAAAAATAAATAAAATAAAATGTAGGACTGTATTATTGCACAATTTAAATTTCCTTAGGCAGAACAACAACAATATGACTAAAAGTCTTCTATCAAAGGCAAAACACATTGGGAATTTGTACAATTTATGTGTAACACAGCTCTTCCAGTTGTGGTTTTCATTTTAAGAATATATACACATTAACAATAAGATTGTGCAAAACTAAAACAAAAAAAAATCTCCAAGCAATTTCATCTGTAACTTGTACTGACATAAAGCAGGAGGGCAAAATCACAGAAAACAGAGTCTACTTCCATGCTGATTTTATCATCAATCAGGTATCTCTGCAGTATTATATTGTCGGAGTCCAGAGTGCTAATGAAAATGTGGCATTTTCTCAAAGCTTTACATATAAACTTTGTATGTCGAGTCCCCTCTAATAAGAAAATGAGGGAGAGAGAAGTGTTTGAAAACTGTGAGCAGTAAGCCAGAGGTAAAATATGAAAAATCACCGGCTTATATCAGCACCTAAGATGTTCATGGCCATAGCCCTTTCTTCAATGGGCATTCATAGTTGTTCACGTGTTTTGGGTAACTATTTTAACACACAAACATAGAACAAAACACACTTATTACAATGCAACAGCAGTTATCTTTCAAAGTTGAGGTCTGAACTTTTGAATTACACTTCCTCAATACCAAATTAAGCTACATTGGAGAATGATTACATTCCGATTTCATTTATATGTGCTTTTATTTTTGTTTTTGTTATATTAAACAATATGCTAACAAATAAATGTATTCATGTATATTTTTCCACTTCTATATTTTTCACATTCTATTCCTTTGGCCAATTCAATTTAAGCAAAAAGATATCTGAAATTATGACATCTAGCTAACTTTCAGTGCAAAAAAGTGCCAGCTTAGAGACATATGAAGAGCAGAGATATAAATTATAAAACAGCACAATGGTGTCACCAAGAATATTAGGTTAAACTTTCTACTTTATTTCAACTTGGCTGTTTTACATCCCCCATTTTTCTCATTTCCACATGACTGTCTCTTCTACTAACAGTTGTATATTTTGCAAGGACTTATTCAATTTCTTAAAGTACATTTTAAAAGTTTTAATATAATCTAGTGGCACAGGCTTGTATTAATCTCAAGGGATTAATATATTTTTTAAGTAATGAAAAAAAAATCTGCATATCAAACAATATTTAAGCCATGGAATCTGAAGGCCATAATTTATATATTTTTCTTATGAATTTGGAACAACTAAAGCATTCTTCTCTATGTCACATATATTTTAAATATTTTTCTCCTATTGCTATATGTTTGCCACAGTTCAGTTTCGATTATGTGTTTATATTATGAAAATGCTTGTGACTACAGGCTCCTACATATCTGTACAATATTTTGCTTCTGTCTACTGCAATCTAAAATGTGGCTATATTTTCTAGTTTGTTTTGTGTCCTTTTCACCTGCGGCTACAGAGAAACTGAAATGAAGTTCTCAGCTCTTTATTAGTAAAAGCATCAGAAAAGTAAATAGATCATAACATAAATGTTTTTCTGCCTCCAGTATGAGTGATGTATGTTGCATGAGCTATGCACCGCAAAGCGGAGGAAGAGTTCTTTACCCTGCAAAAGGAAAAGTAAAGCATTGAAAAAGGATTTTAATGAAATTATAACATTAGAATACTTTATATTAAATCTCACTAATTTTCTAGGTGAAGGCGGTGAAGTGAATGTGAGGAAACATTAAAAGGGAATTGAATTTGCATTCCTTATGCTACAGGCACATGTTTACATGACCTTTAAAACAGAATTAAAGCTGTATCATCAGCAGCTGTAGGCAATTCACATTACTAAGGCAATCAAATCAGAATGCTAAACTAACTATAAAACATAAATTAAACTGATAGAGAATCATCTTAATTCACTAGGTTTACTTGCAATCTACTTATACTCTACTAGTCATTTCAAAGCAGTTTGTGGATCCACCAAATGAGAAATACTGCAACATATCTAAAAATAGAGTGTCCAACTATACAAATGTAAGCTAAAACACTTTAACATATCTTTTTAACATACTTCCATGAATCATCTGAGTTAGCTTACTTCATGAACATTATTTACCTTCAACAATCACCTACAAAAGTAAGCATTATTCCATAAAGACATAATACTCTTGATATGCTATACATAGCAGATATAATTTTTATTTCAAATGAGCACTTGGAAGAGTTAATAATGAATGTGTAAAGGCTAGTAAAAATTAACTGAACATATTTTTATTCCAAACTTCATTGTATTATTCCTCAATATCCTTCATACCTTAACAATAAATATATTCTGGTTTCCTTTCATAGCATGGTACAGATAGTCCTCCTTTTAAAATGTGGTAGGATGGAATATTAAATAGAATTTAAAATTCAATTGTGTGGGATGAGACTTATTCTAATGACATAAAATGAGAAGTGTAAATATATTTATAACGCAAGTTATCATCTCACAAAAACTGTTTTAAGAAAGCTTGACTTTTTTTCCATTTGTAGTAAATTTTAGGAAAACAAACATATTCTATGTTTCCCAAAGTGTTTCTGTTTGCATGTTGTAACTTAATTTCCTCCTCTGTAAAAAAAATTTCTAAGACCCCTTGATGCTACTGAAAACATACAGAATATGTTTGAAAATGCAATTCTTCTACTCCAAGGGATGAATAAAAGTAGGGGGGACTCAAATGCATCTTTCCATCACTAATGTGGGTGTCTGTATAGGACAATCTCGGTTCTTTACAAAACTGTCAACTAGCTGTTAAAAGAAAACCAATCCTCCACAACTCTAAGATTCTGCTTAGCTGAGCTGAGATCCACACTCAAGAGTTGAGATCATTATTGAATGCAATTTATATTCAAATAGGTTTGTTCTCCAATATGCAAAGGTCCAACCCTGTAAATTCACACCCACTGCCCCTCACCACATGCGCAAACATGTGAGTTATCCATTTGTTTAAGAGAGGTGGTAACATACCTAATGTTTACATCAAGCACCTGGAAAAAAAATATTGTATTTAAAGGTTAAGATGAGAGCAGATGTGATTGAACTATTGTTTATTGGCAAACAAGAATTCCAATCTCTCCCCAAAAGTAGAAATACTAAGAAGAAGATAGGTGAGGAAAAGCAAAAGCCTCATTCTCACTATTATTTGAATAAGTTAAAAGAAATATTTAGGATGTACCAAAGACATCTGAGTATTGATATTTAGATTGCCCTAAATGTCTTTCCTTAGAAGCCTAAGGTTTTCTTGCCCCTTCAATTGTTGAAAACATGAAACTTCTTATTTTTGAAGAGGAATAGGCAGATTTAAATTCCTCCCTTAATGTTATCTAAGTTAACACCTTATTGCCGGAACAAAATATTTTAGGGCAACTGTCACTTTAACACACCAGGGGAATAATAGGGGTGCTAGTCCTGAGCATATCCCCCGAGGGGGGGTGTCACTGCTGCAGAGCTGTGGTGACACACATCATTTGTTGGGGAAGGAGATGGGCCTTGTCTCCTGAGAAAGCACTACCTTGAGCCCTTTACATAGGTGCAGGTTTAGAGAGCAGGACAACTGGCTTGGTAGTGTTCAAGGGGCAAAAAGAACCTTCGACCTAGGAGGGGCTCGCCTGGCGGAGCAGCAGAGGCTGCCCAGGGACTAGGATATTCCTTTGGCCAGGCCGAAAAGGCCCAGGGCTCTCCAAAAGAACAGCAGGTGGCGACTATTGTCGGGGTGGGGGGCCGGGAGCTCTAGGCTAATACAGACACTTTGGTGTCTTGCTTCTAGATCCTTGCCCCCTCCCTCCGCCTCCAACAGAGGGAAAGTGACCTTGCCACCAATCCTTCAGATCGTGCTTCAAATAGAAGAGAGGCTGGGGAGGTTTAGGGGGCAATGAAGTCCTGAAGGCTGTCAAAATAAGCCCCTCTAGCCAGCTGCCCTGTGTCGCAATAGAATCCATTTGGCCTAAAGAATTGCCACCCGCGGAGTTATCTTAAAACAATATATCTCAGTAGAATGCTCCTGATCCCCACCACAACACCTCTATTCAGTGTATGTCCAGGAGGCTAAGGTCAGGTCCACCGTTCCGAAACATCTGGACATTTTAGCCAAGCTCTCCAGAAGGCGAGGGATCCTGTTGCTGCCCAAATCGCGCCCCCTCCTGCCGATGCCTTGTCTGATGTTTTGGGGAAGCTCCTTGATTCTTTATGGCTTTGCATCTCGGCAGAATGGAGCTAGCTGACTTGGGTTAGCGGCAACACCAGAACGGGAGCGAGCTGGCTGGGGGAGTCACAACCACCTGAGCCGGGAGCAGAATCACCAAGGGCAAAGCACTGGTCAGGGGCTAGGTTCTGCTGTCTACCTGAGCTCTTGTACTTGGAAAAGAGATTCCAAAAAGTTATTGGATATTAAATGTGTGTGTGCACGCACAACACCCACGATGGCCTGACTGATGTATTCACAGGCAGCTGGAAACCGGAATACCCGACCGAAGGGAACTCTTCTCGGGGCAGGGGAGCTAAATCGATTCCTCAAATCCATAGTGAGGCAAAGTGCAAGAGATGTCGGTCCAAAGAAAAGTTACAGAAAAGGGAAATTTTAAGACCACTCAGGAAACTCACACCCCTCCCCCAGAAGAACTAACACAACAGCAATCACAACAGAGGAAGCATTAATATTCTTGTTAAAAATGCGTTCCCCAAATGTCCTTGCAAATTGGACTTTTCCCCAAACTCTCTCTCTCTCTCTCTCTCTGTGTGTGTGTGTGTGTGTGTGTGTGTGTGTGTGTGTGTATACATTTTGTTGGGTGGGGGGCCACAATCCCCCCATACATACACACACATACACACACACTACACATTATTTTCATAATCATCAGCAGCCCCTTCTCTACTCTTTCCTCCTGGAAAATAATGATAATAGTAATTGAAATTTCTGAAAAATGACAGCAGGTTAAATCTGGTCGGTTGCTCATTTTCAAAGTGATAAACTTACATTCTTGTTCTTTGTGGAGCCCTGAAATGGTAATGTGAGCTCCAGACACTGAGCAGATTACTTACTAAAAGTCATTTCCAGAAGGATCCCATAATCAATCTATAATCAAGCTTCCTGTTGTCCCATAACCACAAAGGGACGTGGAACGCACGCCGTTTCAGACAAATAAATACCATTTACTAAGGGGCGGGGAGACAGGGTGGCAGGGAACACAGGACCTCAGTTAGGAATGAAGCCTAAGCATTCTTACAATTTTGCACATTAAAACCTTAATCCATCCATGAAGAAGGAAGTGATTTGCAATTTGGGGAGGCTCTATTAACTACTATAGTGACTTAAGAAAAGCTTCTAATGTTCAGCCAGAAGACTTATTGATGACTGGAATACCGATGCGCGCAGGGTTTAAAGTAAGAGATTTCTACCCGCCCTCTGATCAATCGCGCAGCTATGACTATTTTTTTTTTCGTTTTTAAATACCTCTACCACTTCTTACTTTCAAAAAAATAATTAAAATGAAAATCAAAAGTACCATTGCATTTTAAATTTGGAAGCATTCTGCGGCTTATTTTTTTTTTTGATAAAAGTGTAATTCCACGTGTGTTATATATTTTGTAAAACCATCCGCTGGGTTCCTCGACTCTAGGCTTGGTCTGCAGTGCAAAACTGCACAATGATTCCTAAACACCCCAAATCCTGGTGCCAGGAAAATGATAGCTATGCTGAGTATGACACAATAGCTCTGTCTCTGTAAAGCTCTTTTCTCTGGGATACTGTAAAATTAGGGTTCACCCACCGACATTGCAACGGCAAAAATGTGATCCCTAAAGAGAAACTGAGACTGGACGGACACGACCTGGCCAACGCAGTTATAGGAGCAAGCATCCTTTCCCTTGGTAGTGAGGGTCTCTATTGTCCCAGCCTGTCCTCTAACCATCCTGTCAGAGGCCCCTGCCACACAATGCCTCAGCACTTCTCCCGAGCATTCAATTTTGCTAGCAAATGACTAGTGGTTCTCACAGATTGGGGTATTTGTATTAGATTTTACATGAGGAGTATTTTAAGTTTCCCTGTTTCTGCTGCAGCATTCACTGTGTGTACTCACCCCCTCCCCTCTTCCTCTTTCCTTTTTCTCTGAAGATTCTTTTTCTTACGTTCAGGAAAGCCAATAGAGACCTGAAAAAAAAAATGAACTAATTGAGCTTGAGCTCAATTGGTTCATGCCTATGAACTATTTTGCCATGTCCTACCATCAGTATTGGCAATGTCTCCTAATGTCATCTAAATTCTTTTTTAAAAATTTTCCCCAGAATATTAGGAGCCCCTTACCTCCCCCCCATCCCATACAGCTTTTGAAAAAGAAAAAAGGAGAAGAAGAAAGAAGGCGACTATAAGAGGAGCTGCAGTGGGCTAGTGCTCTGAAGGACAGCTGAGTCTCACACCGAGAACAGTCTTATGAGATCAATATGCAGAAACCAGGAAAACAGCTTTTTTTCCCTGCTGCTTTGAGAAGTCTGTTCAATTGTTTCCTTCCCTTATGAGCTCCCGGTGTTAAAAAGAAAATGTACATTTGTCCCTACCAAGCTCAATCTAACTTGTTCTGTTTCCAAAGTGAACTTGGGTTGAAGGTGAAGTTTTCATCTTGAGATAATGCCTATGTTCCATGTCCTGCCATTTGGAGCTTCATGCTATATTGCACACAATCAAATCTGGCCTTTTGAACTTATTTCCTGAACCCCCTCCACCCCCCACCGCTACTCCCTGTCCTGACCCCCTGCCAGCTTCAGCCCCAAACCACCTTCCTCTCCCCACCCTCAATTTGTACACATAATGAGAATGCTTCATAATCTACACTCACATATGAAATCTGCAAGAGACACAATCCCCATGGCTGGGGTACTTTCCAAAGGAGCCAGGACGCAGGCTACCCAGCTGCGGCCGTGCTCAGATGTTTCCACAGGAACACAACCTGAACCACATTAATCTGCTTAATTTCTTTTGTGAATCTTTCCTTGCTTAGAAAGAAAGGGGAGTGGGTATCTGTGAAGACGTTCAGGAGCTGGTATCCCTAAATCTTGTGAGGAAGAAAATCCACTGCAAACTCTGAAGTTACAAATAAATGAACATATATAAATAAAGCCAATCTGACTTTCTTTTAAAAATGATCTGAATTGCCCTCTTAGAAACAAAGCAAGGGGAAAGGGTAAGGTGGGGTGTGTAATTGGAGTGTGAGGGCAACTTAACAAGGAATAAAAATTGTGCCAGGTTCTTGCCTGGCACAGGAATTGAAACCTGTGCTGCTTTGCTGAAGATAGGTGGGGATTCGCTACAATTACAGTTTGTCTACTTCAAAGCTGGGCTCCTCTCTAGGGCGACTTTTAACTGCCCCTACCCGGTAGGTTCCACAGCTATTGTTATATTATTCAAACCAAAGCTCTAGAGGGGGTGGGGAGAAGCAGATCTGAGGACCGGGTTTGGGCTTCAAGATCAGGATGTGGAGCACATCAAGTGTGTATGTAGCCCAGCTGCATGAGAGAGCAAGCTTGCCAGTGGTAACTTCGAGTTTAAGGCAAAATGCAGTCTATGAAAAATTAGTTACCAGCTCTTTGCAACAGTAGCTTCGTATCAACTTATTTTTCTCCCATGTCCAGACGGGTCGTCTATTGAATGTGGCTCTTTTATTTTGCATGGGGCAGGGGATTTGTGACCATGGTCCCCCCTTTTATTCCTCTCTCTATGGAAACCCAGATCATGGGGAGAAATATGTGAAGCTGAATAAAGAGAAGCTGCAGAAAGGAGCGCTTGAGAGCGGCATCTGTTACACTTGGGAAGTTAAACTGACAGGAGAGGGCGAAGGAAACCTCTCCAGCAGATTAGTTAGAACAGCAAGAAGATTTGACTATATGCAGATATTTTATTCAAAAAACAAAACACCTTACATGCAAGAGAAGATTCTATCACAGTTACTAGAGGATGTGATTGGACCTGAATTCAATAGGCAGTATCTATATTCATGGAAACATTTTTTTTAAATAAAAGAAAGAAGGAAAGAGAAAGAAAGAAAGGAAGAAAGAAAGATGGAAAGAAAGAAAAAAAGAAAGAAAGAAAAAGAGGAGAGAGAAAAGAAAAATAAAGGCGATAACGACAGTTTGTGCTCCTGACGAAAGCTATTATTTCCATTAAAAAGAGAGTTTTTACATTAAAAAACTGCAAAGTAAGGGTGTAAAAAACCTGTCCCTGGGATCAGATCTCCCTCCTTACCTCTCCCCCTCCAAGCCTCTGGCAAATGGTCTGAACCACTTGATGCGGCTGGCAAAATAGGGTACCAGGAGCAGAGGCCATGGGCAAGAGGAAGGTTGATTGTAAGAACTCAGGCAAGTCAAGATTGAAAAAAGATCCCCTTCTTGATGCAAAAGTCTTATCATTTCATAATTACCTTAACCCCCTGAATGGCTTAAGATTAGCAACTCTCGCCCAAAGGCAGCTGCAAGGTGGGGGTGGGGAACCTACAACAACAAAAACAGCATGGCAATGATCATGATCGTTTTACACGTAAGGTTTCTTCAACGCGTTTCCCTCTGACCTCTAAATTGAGCCGACACAGACTCACAAATGGATCTTCCAAAGGCCAGCTTAACAGAGCACCTAAAAACTTTACTTTTGTTTGATTTTGACAAGTTCTTGTTTCTTCCAGAAGCGGAATTTCAGGCACAAATGAGATTGCATTCTTGCAAAGGAAGATGCAAACAGTTAGCAGTAAAGAATGAGTTCCTTAGCAGAAAAGGTGGGGAGTTGGGGGGGGCGGGAGAGAGAGAAAGAGAGAGAGAGAAAGGAAAACTCAATTTCTAAAAGCAGATAAGCCTCTACAATAAGACGTGGGCAAATGAAGCTACAGTTTCAATGAGAGAGCAGGAAGAGGGGGTGAGATGGCAAATGATCCTCTCTGCCAATAATTACTAAGTGTTTACCTTAAAAAAAAAGAGTGAAAAAAAGAAATAGATCTGAATCAGATGCCAGGTTTTCATGCCTAATAAACACGTTTACACTTACCAATATCAGCTCCTATTGCTCTGTGCTCTCATAAGAAATTACTCATTTCACAGGAAATAGATGCTCTTTAGCTATATAAAGGAATGGCAGAATAAGCTCACCTTGTTTTTATTTTTTTCTCATTTTCTTGCACATTCTTCAGATCTGTCTTCTTAGAGAAACTAATGCCTTAATGACTTTCTGGTAGCAGCAAGCCTTCTTTTATTTCTGCTAAATATATGAAAATGTATGCAAATTTAAATCAAGCTTAACCTAGGCGCTCTTGCAATATATTTAATGGAATTTCAAACCAATAAGGGAACTCTGATGCCGTCTTCTGTAAGTGCAAATATAATTAGGCAGCTAGGTTACCTCCAAAATTATTCAACGAAAGGTCATTTTTTTAACTTCAAAGACCATGTTGGGTATCTGGTGTTGCCTTTTCTCAGCTAGAACAAATCAAATCTTTGCCTTTCTCCCCACTCTGCTTCCAAGCACTGCCTTTGCGCCGGGCTGTGGAGCACACGGACTTGTCCTTTCCTAACTTATAAAAGCTTAGAAGGAGCACAAGTGTTTCACCTCTTTTATTCTATCCAAAATGTAAAAGCAGTCCTATCTTTTCAAGCTGAAAGCAAATTCAAGCTTGATGGGGACTGGGGAAGTGGGGGCGGTACTTGATGCCAAACATCCCGCCATTTCTCTCTCTCTGAATTTCCTGGGCACATTAAATGCAGGGCGGGTGAGGAGGGTGGGGGAGCGGTGAAGGTTAAAAACAATTTTCCTAGGGGATGGCATCGGGGCGCGGGGTCACGAACGTTTTCCTGTATACCTATTCGTAGTGGGTCTGCAGAGTGTTTTGGGTGAGTGTGAGGGCTGCCCGCTTCAGCAAGCAGAACCTTTGACAGAAGTTGTGGGATCTGTGATGGGAACTGATATGGAGCAGTGAGAAAGCAAGGTTTCCAATTGACCAGCTAGATTGGGAAGCAAACTTCGAAATAACTGAATATTGTCAGTATCACATTAGATTTTACTTTCCCAGAATAATTCAGTTCTTCGTGACCTAAAAAATTTTTCAGAAAAATTGAAAGAACAGGATATCTCTTAGAAGCTTTCAGACCTTGATATCGAGGTTCTTAATACAATGAAATAAACTGAAATGTTCTTATTGGAATCATTGGTTTCAACTTTATTGGTTTAGGGTCCAATCGAAGACGTTACTTTGCTCAAAGTTTGTAGCGACGTTTTGTTTTGCAGTCCTAGGCACACAACTAGCCCGCCCAGACAGCCGAGTGAGTCTGAAAAATCCCTATTCACTGAGATCAAAATGACATTTAAACTTGCTTTACTTTTTCTTTATTTAGATTAATCTAAATAATCAAAAAGGAGTTCTACAACCTTAATTTTCCACCTCACTCCCTGACTGCCCCCCAACAACACATCCCTCACATCTTTTCCCCATCAACATAAACCCCGCGGTGGGGGGGGTAGTAATCAAATGTACGGCCGCCACTCTGCGCTAGGCAGCCAATGGAGCTGAAAGATTGATTCACTTCCTGCTTGGGTCTCATTGAAACTCCGGAGCTTCACCAGCCTAATTTGGAAAGCGAGCCCGACCTCCCGCACCGCTATTGGCCGGGCTTACTCCTGGCCAGGCGGAGACGCGCTGCGATTGGCCGTGGTGGGTGCCGGTAACCCGTGCTAGCGTCTTTGGCTCCCCGCACCGTAGATGTCAAAGGCTGAAGCTGCTCCCTTTGCCACATTATAACTAGTAGGGGATCCTCACCGACCATGGCCACAGCTGCCTCGAATCCCTACAGCATTCTCAGTTCCACCTCCCTAGTCCATGCGGACTCTGCGGGCATGCAGCAGGGGAGTCCTTTCCGCAACCCTCAGAAACTTCTCCAAAGTGATTACTTGCAGGGAGTTCCCAGCAATGGGCATCCCCTCGGGCATCACTGGGTGACCAGTCTGAGCGACGGGGGCCCATGGTCCTCCACACTGGCCACCAGCCCCCTGGACCAGCAGGACGTGAAGCCCGGGCGCGAAGACCTGCAACTGGGTGCGATCATCCATCACCGCTCGCCACACGTAGCCCACCACTCACCGCACACTAACCACCCCAACGCCTGGGGGGCCAGCCCGGCACCGAACCCGTCTATCACGTCAAGCGGCCAACCCCTCAACGTGTACTCGCAGCCTGGCTTCACCGTGAGCGGCATGCTGGAACACGGGGGACTCACCCCACCTCCAGCTGCCGCCTCTGCACAGAGCCTGCACCCGGTGCTCCGAGAGCCCCCGGATCACGGCGAACTGGGCTCGCACCATTGCCAGGATCACTCCGACGAGGAGACGCCAACCTCTGATGAGTTGGAACAGTTCGCCAAACAATTCAAACAAAGAAGAATCAAGTTGGGCTTCACGCAGGCCGACGTGGGGTTGGCGCTGGGCACACTGTATGGTAACGTGTTCTCGCAGACCACCATCTGCAGGTTCGAGGCCTTGCAGCTGAGCTTCAAAAATATGTGCAAGCTGAAGCCCCTGCTGAACAAGTGGCTGGAGGAGGCGGATTCGTCCACAGGGAGCCCGACCAGCATTGACAAGATCGCTGCACAGGGCCGCAAGCGCAAGAAGCGGACCTCCATCGAGGTGAGTGTCAAGGGCGTACTGGAGACGCATTTCCTCAAGTGTCCCAAGCCTGCCGCGCAGGAGATCTCCTCGCTGGCAGACAGCCTCCAGTTGGAGAAGGAAGTGGTGCGTGTCTGGTTCTGTAATCGAAGACAAAAAGAGAAAAGAATGACTCCGCCAGGGGATCAGCAGCCGCATGAGGTTTATTCGCACACCGTGAAAACAGACACATCTTGCCATGATCTCTGACTGGAGGAAGCGAGGAGGCGGCCGGCCGCACTGGGAGCAGCGCGGATTTCTCTTTCTCTCTCACTCTCTTCCTTTCATTCTAGTATTCTTTATTATTTTTCTCTCTCTCTCGTTCGCTCGCTCTCTCGTACTCTCTCTCTTTTCCCTCCTTTCCTTTTTCTTTCCTTTCCCCTTTTTCTTTCCCTTCTTTTTCCCTTTCCTTTCCTTTCATTTTCTTTCCTTTCCCCTTCCCTTCCCTTCCCTTCCATCTCTTCCTTTCCTTTCCTTTCTTTTCTTTTGCTTTCCTTTCCTTTTTTTCCCTTTTCTTTCCTTTTCATAAGAGGTTCTAACTTCTGTTGACAAAGGAAACACATACTCTCTCATTCAGGCTTCTCAATGCTGATACACAGTTACATTAAGCAGTCCAAGCTGGGATCTCATATTCCTGGCTCCCCGGGCAACAGTTCCCTTTAGCCTTTTCTGCTGATCAATACATATTGTTTACTCAGAGTAAGGTTTGTTTGGTCGCTCCTCTCTAGGAAGAACAAGGAGTGGGATAACGTGGGGGCGGGGTGGGGCGGGGGAGGGATTGGGAAGACAGATGTGTGCCTCTGAATAACCTTTCAGCGCCTTGGTTATAGCAGCTGTATTTCAGGTGAAATTTGTTTTACAATAGACTAGTTTTGCATTTTTAAAAACTTCTATAGCGTTTCTAAATGTCTGCGGTGTTTTACTACAATCTGTACACAATATTTGTGAGATAATTTGTATCTAATCGACCACTCCATGTTATTATTGCTATTATTATTACTACTTCGTTGAGCTGATGGCTTTTTAATTGCTTAGAAAAGGGAGGAGATGAATGGGAATAGGCGGGGAGAGAGATGCCTATCTACTCACCGCCCCCCCCCTTCCCAAATCTCTATGAGGAGGAGAGGATACAACGAAGAGAGTTATTGATGATGATATTGGTTATATTTTTTTTCCGGGGTGGAGTGCCTAGGAAGGGCAGAATAGGGAAGCCTATTAGGTTTGCAAACTAGTGCGAAGTAGCAGCGGCGATTTCGCAGCTTTCTGCCCTCCCTCCTGGAAGTGTGGAGCCCGCGCAGGCTACCGCAGCATAGATCGAGGTATCTGAGAAGGATTCGGCGGCAACTCTGGGCCAAAGAGGTGGCCTGACAGTCTGGGAGGGCTCCGCACTCACCGGACTCCAGGATTCCTGCGCGCAGAAATCCAGGCCCCCAGCCTCGCTAGGGCGACCTTCCGCGCGACCTCACTTCGGCCCTCCTAGAGGAAAGACTTTGCCTTCACACGCGATTACTTTCACTGGAGATCACGACCCGGAGACGCTGGCGACTGGGCCAGCGCCTCCCATTTCGGTTCACCTCCAGTTCACCGCCCCCTCTGAGTAAGAAACCCTTGGGGAGGGGTGGCGAGGGAGTGGGGGATAGGCATTCTCTGCTCAGTGCAGAACGGCAATGAAATGATTGGCAAAGGTCACAGGGATTCTGGTCCATCCGCGTACCACCTCTCCCCCCATGTATATACCGCTGTCTGTGTGTGGGCTCGTGGGGAGCTGTCTCGGCGTTTCTGATAAGCACAGCTGGTGGAAGCCCACAGCGACGATCCAGCGAGCTAGCGAGCGCCCGGGAGGCTGGGTTCCTGCTTTTTAAAATATAAATATATATATATTTTTAAATCTCTGTGTGTATGTGTCTCTGTGCGTGTGTGTGTGTGCGTGCGCGTGCAAACGTGTGTGTGTAGATAGCTGTGTGTATCGCGTTACTATGTACAAAAACAAAAAGTACAAAAAAAAAAAAAAACCTGGCTAGGCTGTGTAGAGATCCCAAAAATATGCAGTTGCTGTGGCTTTATTGCTAGCTAGTATCCACACACCAGGTCCACAGGCGAACCTCATTCCCAAGGAGCACACACGTGTGAGGCCGGCCAAGCACCCAACACCCAGCCGCCGCCGGCCAGACCTGGCTGGGGGCGCTGCACGCCACTGCTGGCCGCCTAGTCCGGCCTTTAGGCGCAGCTGCTGTAGACAAAGCTTCAAACTACCTAAGGACCAGAAAGCCCGGCCCGGTTGTCGAGGATGCGTTAGTATGAGTTGCCAGGCCTCTGGTCCACCACACTGTGTCTCCCTCAGCTGCAGGTCGAAGAGCATGTGTTAATTCAAATCCCGGACCCTTCTACTTTTTTGTCAAGTCTCTGCATTCTGTTGGTAGTTAGGTTTTAGTTCTGGGATTTTATTTTTTTTTCCCCCACACTGAGTTCATGTTTTACAACTGTTGGGAGTTTTTTGTTTGTTTCGATTTTTTTTCTTTGCAGTTAATTGCTATGGTTCGAACCTGAGTTAACCCAAATATTTCTGCCGACTTTATAACTGTACAGTTTTGTATATTAAACGTTTTTGAAGTTATTAATTTAAAGAAAGATCATTTAGTTTATTCATTTAGTAACTGATGTATAATAAACGCTATTTTCATTAAGAGTTGCTTTTTCAACTATTTTATTCAAATTGCCTATTGCAGTTGCCAACAATTATTTATTTTCAATAAATTCTGCATTGTGTTTAAAAGGAAATTCTTTCACAGATAAGTTGGATGTCAAAAAGAAAACAATTCGCTGTAATGTTTGATGTGAAGTTTTAGTCAAGGGGTTTATATTGACGCAATATTTTATTGTTGTAAAAGATTAAAAAGGTTTAAATAAAACATTTTTCCAAAAAAAAAGTTTTCTTCTCCTGGTCTTATTGTGTGCTGTGTGAGGTGGAGCGTTTAAACAGAGGCACATTCCGGGTGAACAGCACTTCTGCTTTGCTTCAGCTTATAAATCATTAGTCATTGTTTTGACTCTTGATTCCCTTCCTCTGACTTTCGGCCTTTCAGCTCAGCTCTGAAATACACTGGCGCACACGGCACGGCCTATTCTGGAGCCCACGCTCACGCAAAGCACAGCACAAATTGTGGGAACCCGCATAGGGAAGGCTCGAGGTGGGTTTTATTTTAGGAGGTGCAACCTTACTAATGTTCTCCAAAAAGAGAGTCTCTCTCTCTCGCTCGCTCGCTCTCGCTTTCTCTCTCTCTCTCTGCCAGCAGATAGACCTTTCTCCAAACCTGCCTCTCCTGAAACTGAGCTCAGATCTTCTATAAGGCTGTCATTTCGCCTCACTGCACCCATCCTTCTTCTTCCTCTCCATTCTGTTAGGTTCCCTTTTGGTACCTGATCCCTCATTCCCCTGAGGAGGGATGGGAGGATGATAATAGGTAAGGAGAAGCACTCTCCCTCTTAAGGCTCTTCCTAGGCCCAGAAACGCAGGTAAACTGTTTATCCCAACAATGCTGAACTCTGTCCATTCCTATCTGAGTATGGGGGGAAGGAAAACATAATACAAGGAGATATTTTGGGGGTGGGAGTTTGATTACACTCTTCTTCCCACTCCCATACACAATTTCATTTGTTTTATTTTATTTCACAAGACCCTCCATAAAATAAGTGACTGTTACCTTTAGTGATAGTTGAGGAGTAAATTACCAAATCTGAACCAGTTCTGTTTTAATGTTTTGTATGTACAGGCATGCCTTATTCAACTTTTTTTGGTAGATGCATATGAAGCAATGAACAGGACATTCAATAATTTCCCAGCAGTAAACCCCCCTCAATTCATAGTCTGAAGTAGGTGTTTTTGTTAGAGGACCCAAAATGATTTAATCATTTGAATAGGTAATGATTACAGCATATGATGTCTTGTATTTTTCAAAGTGCCTAATAATTTACAGCTCCATGGTGCATCACACACGATTGTTGTGTATGAAATACGGCACATGCTGTGTGTATAGTCATGGGCATATCACTCTTTATAAATAATATTTATTCTATACAGGTATATGTACAGGCACAAAACTCAAAGTTTTAAGCCTCTTGGTTCTCTTTCAGTTCATACCAACTAACTTGCTTCTCTTTCAATATACTATAAAAATTAGAATTGGTTAAAAAGTTATAGCTTTTCTCACAAAACTGCACAAATATCAACTTTCAATGTATCCTGAACTCTTTAATGGAACCTTTTGTAGATATTTTAGGAGATACAAAAATATATATACACATTTATCACTATCATCAGTACTTTTATTAATATACATTACTCATATTTTTATATGTATTTTCAGATTTGTTTTCTTTACTGCTCCTTTTCTTTCTCCTGAAATATAATCAAGTCCTAACTGGTTTTTCTGATCAACATTTTTGCAACATGAACATATTTTCACTAAAAATCGGGAGATGTTGGTGTTTCTGCCTGGGGCTTCCTTTATCTTGAGTTGCTGCTAATCCTGCTTCAAACCAAGGCCTTTGTAAAAAAAAAAAAAAAAAGTGGCTTTGTCTTCAGTTTTTCTCAGGCCTTCACAACAGTAGCTCTCTTTCTCATGAAATAAGAATTGGTAGGTTCCAAAGAACAACAACAGTAAATCATATCTAATGGGTAAAAGCAAAAAAGTTCCCTCTCCTTCACCAGATCAGAACAATAGAAAATGCAGAGGTTGTGGAGGGAGGTAGGATGTGAAAAGAGTGAATATACAGGTGTTACAGATGTGTAAACAAAGTCAAATATGCAAATCAACTATATATTTGCATATAAACATACCTTGGTTGTCTAAATGGCTGTGGCTCTCTGCATGCATAACAAAAGGGAAATAGATTACAAAAATCAAGCATTTATATTTTGGACAATAAAATAAGAAAATGAATGTTATCCCTGGAAATTTGTTTCTTACCTTTAAAAGAAAAGGGTAAGGGGAAATATGCTTAAATTAGTATAGGAAGTGTGCTTCTCTTTAATAAAATCAAAGACTATTCCCTTGGAAGTATTTAGCATTCCCATATTTCTCTTGCTCCCAAATCAGGCTGCTGTTGTGTTAATTGTCTGTAGGCTAAAAGTAGAAATATACATTTCTGGTTTTATTTAAAAAAAAATTTTTGGCGGTGGGGGAAGTGGGGAGGAGAAGAAAGAGGAGAATGGAGAAGTAGAAAATGGTTACAGGTTAAACAGTTCAGTTTTCCAAAGAGAATAACGTATTTTCCCACCTGTCAGATATTGTTAAAGACACATATGGAACTTCAGAATTGTGGAAATTTTTTCTGTGACTAAGTACTTAAAAATCCAAACATGTGACCCTTTCAAAAAAAGTCTTGAAAGGAATAAAAAGTAACAATGCAGCACAGTGCCATTAGAATTGATGTCACTCACACTCATCCATTCTGTAAAATAAAAGAGTAGACATTCTTTATACATGCCCCTGATAGCAGTTTTAAAATAGTAATCCCCCAGCTTATTCACCTACTGATATTGGTTTTTAAAGCATTAAGAACAGTGAATATAAAATATATTTGAAACCAATTAAGGCTTTTTTCTAACATAAAAGTATCTTTTCTTAAGAGCACTGCTGGTGCAGCATTTCCCAAACTAGGGGATTAGTTAAAAGAATACAGTCTTGAAAACAAAATTTAGTTAATTTCTGCAATCTCTAAGAAGGGGTAGAAACAAGAATCTAGACTACTGTTCCTGTAAACCAAATCCACAAAATTAAACATTTGTGCATTCCAGTAAAAAATGCATTGCCTTACTATGCTTTCTTTCATCAACATGAGAATGGAACTACACCTATTCACACTTCACACATTATTTAATTAACTAGATAGAAGACTGGATTCTCTTTACAACACTATTTGTTATCAGGAGCATTTGGTATAAGGTTCATCTTATATGGCTTCCAAGGCGGGTGTTTATTCAACTACCAAAAGGGCCTTATTATGAAGTGCACTCATCCTTGAAGGGAGGGAATCTCAGGACAGCTTGCTTTCGGCTGAAATTCTACAGTATTTAATACAAGTATATTGTGTAGACACATACCCACAGTCATAAATGCATTCCTTTTCCTTCCCCTCAAACCCTACCACCCCACCCCTGCACTTGCACACAGACACTATGATTTAACAAAAAGCAGACTGTCCCTCAGAGACCAAAAAGGAAGAGATCAACTCATTGACCAATTTATTAAGTTTGTCTTTTCATCTGTCTTCCTAGTCAAGCTGTGTCCACACCATTCTGGTGCAGTCAACTGAAAAGAGAAAAAAATCTCTCTGTCAAACTCTGTTTTATCTATGTAATGTCTCAAACCTAGTTTGAGTGATTCTTTCTCCAACTCTGATACATACAGAATTACTGTTTGTGTTGGCATTTTGTAGCAATTTCTATTATATCAGCATTGCTTCTTGGGAGAAAGGGCACCATCTAAACATTTTTAATATTGATTACTTCTCATCTTCCTTAGTTATTTTTCACATACTGTAGAATCCCATTCTAATGTAGCTGATTAACTCTCACATTTGGCCAGACTGGAGACCAGCCCTTACCCTGACCCCTTTTCACAGACATGGAAAAGCCTGCTATAAATGTATAGTGTAAAGCTTGTAAAGTGGATGTTAGCAACCCCCCACCAGCAGACCAATATTAAAAAGAGGTTTTTACACATAATTTACATTTGGTAAGAGATTTTCCTCTACCATAATTCTTGCAATCTGAGCACAGAAAACCACACACATACCCATACCACCTGCAAAGATCACTGCTAGACATCATATTTTTAAAGCACAGAAAATAGAAGGCTATGGACCAGCGGCAGTAGTTCGTTGGTCTTCAAATGGCATGTAATTCCAAGTTGCAGAAATGGCTATCTGAGTGGATGTCTTGCAGAGAGGAATAGTATTTTTCTTCATGATTTGCTATTCATACTCTACCTGTCATGGTACTGGTAGTATTCATGTTTAATTAATGTCATTTTTTTCTATAAAATGTATTACCACAAGAGCATATGTATACATGCATATAGAAAAGATCTGAATCAAAGGCAGAAGTATCTCTCAAACCTCTAGTGGTGTAGAAATTAAGCAGAAAAAAAATCATATTTGTGAACTATATTGGCATAATCAGGGACTACGTCTGTTCAGAACAGTGTACAGCAGCCACTTCTAAGCAATAGGGTTTGACTTGCTCCCCAGTGGACAGTAGTTCTCTACAAATGAATTTCTCTCACCATAAGAGAGGAGTTGAGTGTGTTTAACCTGAAATTCTGAATTCTGAGCCTTTCACTGGAGTAAGAGTGTTTGAAATTCTAGATAAACATACTTGTATTAATCACCTTCATTTTCCATGTTATTTCCTGGGTGACAATACTTTAACTCCTCCAGATTTTATACTAAAAGTGAAAACAAAGTAATTTTTAAGGTAGTTATTTCATGTGCCCTGAGTCTTCCCCCCATCACTGTCCATGGAGAAGTAGGCAATATTGGCTCTATAGATGCTCCCCAGCAGCCTCCTCAGGGCAGGTAAAGGAAGTTAGTGTAGAAAGGATTGCAAGACAAAGGATCTGCTGCCTACACTGAGAGCTCCAGCCTCTCATCTACAGTGGAAAATCAACTGATAAAATACAGTCCTATAGTCTCTTCTACTCCTTAATGATCTGCTTCTGCATGTCCTACTATGATGTTTTCGATTGAATTAGAAAACTAACTAGCTTTGTTTTCAATGGATTAAAGTTATGTCTAAACAAGTAATTTCAAAATTGCTGACTTGAAATCTTTTTATTTTCTAGAGCTTTCTCTGCACAATTATTTGCACTTTGTATTACTGTGTTCCTTTATGCATGATTTTGAGAACTCACAATAGAAAAATTTAAGTTAAAGGCAATAATAATCTTTTAAATTTACATACTGTCTTTCCTCCCTAAAGATTCCTAGGCAATTTGGAAATGATGTGCACACTATACTTTGCAACAATCAATATGCAAAGCACAACAAAATGACCACTTCAGGCCACACAAAATGATCACACTAAGACCAGGCAAAAAGATCATTAATATCAATAGGCATCCTGTGCACAACTAAAGAGCAGTATATGCCATGGGTCTCATTCATTGCTGTGTGAGAGTATGAAAGTGCTTGTACTCACATCTCAAACAAATCAAGTCCAACATTTTCAACTCGTATCATATAAGAGATAATAGGCAAATAAAGTGAACACAAAAACATTTGAAAATTATTGATTAAAGTTGTCTTTGAGTCTTCTGGAGAAAAACAAGTATTTTGGTAACTGAAAGACCAACAATACTCAAAGGTAATTGTGCCTTTAAGATATGTGATATTGTAAATTAAAATTGTTGTAAGCATTTGTGAAAAACGTAATGACAAAATAGCCAATTTGAAAATCACAGACTCTCATTTGCGTGTGTGTGTGTGTATGCTACCGCCTATCTATATTTCAGTCTGTATTTTGTAAAAATGACCAAGCTGTTCAGATTGTGGGGGAGGGGGTGGTTAGTTTTAAGTAAATTAAGTTAAAACAGGACTCTCAGGTCAGAGACTCTTAAGAGTTTAATAGAGACCAACTTATCTTTTGGCTCATTTTTAACACCTATGACAATGAGATATGTGATACAAATGGTGACTCCTCTATAGCAAAATAAGTTTAAATTATATTACCATTACCCCCGAGAGTATGCAACCATTTTAAAAAATGTTTTGAAAAACATATCAAGAATCAAACTAGCTGTGATGATATTGAATATTCGCTGGAATATATGTGTTGCTCTAAAACTCTTTGCATGTCCTAACCCTGTTTCATGCCTCTGGCTGTCAGAATTTTGCAGCGCCCACTCAAAGTTCAGTGTCAAATTAAAAAGTGACAAGAATGGAGCAGCATAAATAACAGCTTAAAGCTTTTCTCTACTTTCCCACATACAAACATATGAATTTCAAAACCCAGCAGGTTCTGCTGAATAAATATGTTCAGATTTCATATATAAGTTGCAGAATAAAAATGGCAACAATATTCAATTCAACAAAAATTTATTGAGTGCCTGCTTTGTTAAAGTGGCATGTGAAGCATGTGGAGTAAGGCAAGGAGCTTGCTTCAAAGGGCTAACAATACCTGCGGTAAGATAAGAATAAGAAATGTACATAACTAACTGTTAAATAAAGGAGTGCTAGAGATATGTACTATTATCAATGTGGATGCCACTACTCTCTATTTTTATTGTTCCTTTTTTAATAATACACATTCATACCCAAACATAGCATTTATTTGTGCTATTTTAATAATATTGTGCATCCTTGTTGAAACCCAGGTAGATGCAATTATTAGTTGATTTATATGTCTAGACAATAAAAGTGTTAATTTGAAAATTCCTATAACTGAATTTAGCTCTGTTGAGCTTGAATGACTTTTGTAAGGTATTTTTTGTTTTGAGACAAGCTCTAACTTTGTTGTCCAGACTGAAGTGCAGTGGGGTGATCATGGATCACTACACCCTAGACCTCCGGGGCTCAAGTGATTCTTCCCATTTTAGCCTCCTGAGTAGCTGGGACTACAGGCCTCAAATGATCCTCTCATCTCAGCATCCCAAAGTGTTGGGATTATAGGAATAAACTACCGAGCCTGGCCTCTAAGAAAATGTTTTTAAAGGGATAAAATGTTGAAGAATAAACACACTGCAAGCTTCTAAAAGTCACCTTCTATTCCTCTGCTTCCCATTGGAAAACTGGGAATTAATGGCAGGTAACCTGAGCAATGTGAAATATTCACCTCCCCTAATTTTCAGTCCTTTTCTAATTAGAGATTTTGTGTGTGTCTCACAATTCTGTAACTAGTTACATGAGTTAAGTTAGTACTTGAGTTAAGGAGGAGGGAAAGACTCAGCAGCAGGTGCTAGGAATCAGACTGCAAAGCAAGGAGGTTCTGTTTGATGGTTCTGCTCCACTGTGGACTTCATTCCATCTGATTTATAACATGGTAAGAACAATAGGCAAAGAGAAGCATGAAAAAATACATTTCTAGACTAGAAATCCCTGTTTGAAAAATTACGGGTATTGTGATTTAAAACAAGTAAGGAAACTAAAAACATCCACCAGATTGGTAACAGTTTTTTGTAACCAAATTGTCCCCAGCTAAAAGTCGGCCTCATTGAGATTTTTGGTAGTACATTTCTCCATTGACTAGTAATGTATGGATTCATTTCTATGAATTCAGCAACCTATGGGGAAAAGGCATTGATGTTTAAAGTATGACTATTTAGTTGACTTGTTAGGATGATATTCAGAGCTTGAAGAAACCTAAATCTCTAACAAAAACTCATTAAGCATGGAATGCATTCTGTGCTTGTTTTCTTTTCTTTATGTATTTTTCCCTTTTTGAAATGCATTCTACAAAGCAAAGCTTGCAGCGCTATTTCAAAATTTCCAATTATTTTGTGGAAAATATGCTCAGCGTGAAATATGTTCCCTAACACTGATAAAAGACATAATCAGAGAGGAATAAGAAAATCATTCTGAATGGGCCTGCATTTGCACTCTTAACACAGAGTAATGAGAGACAGGAGCATGCTTATCTTAGGGGAAAGGACTAGAAATACAGTAGACAATCTCATGAAAACGCTGTCTGCCTCACTAAGCTTTTCAGGACAGACTGCTACTGTATCAGTCATGCTCTTCAGGGAACAGAGATGAACTCGGGTAGAGTTGCATCAGTGAAATAGTGAGCAATGCTCCAACAGGATCCTAAAAGACTGAACGAATGCATTTTGAGTTTGTCAGGCTTAACCCAGATGTATTTATGTCCATCAATATTTTGGTTGTGATATTGTACTATAGTTTTGCAATATGTTACTATTGGGAGATACTAGGTAAAGGGCACATGGGTGTTTCTGTACTAGCCTTAAAACTTTCTGTAGATCTACAATTACCTCTAAAAAATTTTCAATTAAAAACTTCAAAGCACAGGTTTAACAATTAAATAAACGCTAACTCAAATTATTTATCTAACATTCAGTAATTTTCATGACAATAAATGTTGACCTTTCATTTTTCTGTTTTTGATTTTCTTTTTTTGTTGTGGGGGAAAGTTTTGGGTGAAGCAGTGTCTGAATAAAACCAGGCTCTTCTGAGTTTTTCTTGAACTTTCAATAAGCTCCTGTCTCTGGCACCTACAGAGCCCTCAATCCCACACTGGGACACTAGAAATCCTGATCATACACCTGGAATGCTTTCTGATTGATTTCTTGTCCTAGCTGAGGTAACTGCCTACAATATCAGCCACAATACCAACCCAGGGACTGGCACCCCAATTAAATGAGTGCCTGAGGAATAACCCCTCAAAAACTAGGTATGGAATCCCTTGTGGAAATATGAGTTTAATAATTTCAGAACCATTCATTAATTCAACAAACATTTATTGAGCACTTACCATATACCAGAATTTTGAAATCGGTATTGCTTTTGGGGATTTATTTTTATAGTCTGGATTTTGATTTGAGTTTGAATTCTAGGTTTGCAGCCTATCTAGCTGTGGGAGAATGAGCAAGTCCTTTAACATCTGTATCTCAGTCTTTCTGCCTATAAAATGGGAATAATAATTGCACCTATCTAATAAGGTTGTTGTAAAATTTAATAATATAATCACACAAAACGCTTACCTTGGTGCCTGACATAAAGTGCTCACTTGATATTAGCTCTTATTGCTCTGTTTGTTTCTCCTCCTATTCTATGTTCTGTATTATGCATAAAATTGCAATATGGTTGAAGTTCATTTAAACAGAGTGGAGAGGAAGTTTCCTCTTCATTATTGACTACTGTAGTGCTTCACAACATCTTTTTTTCCCCATTTTAACACGCATGACAATTGACCCTTATATGAGCAACATACTTTTTTTCCCCCAGCATTATGTGCAATTCCCTGGACATTAACTGTAATGTAGGACCTTACGAGTGCTATATCATCAAGAAAAACCTTGAATCTGTTCTGACTTTTTTTTCCTTTTCTTTGGAGGCAGAGTCTTGCTCTGTCACCCTATCTGGAGTGCAGTGGTGAGATCTCTGCCTACTGCAACCTCCACCTCCCATACTCAAGCCTCCTGGGTAGCTGGGATCACAGGCACACATTGCCACATGTGGTTTTTTTTTTTTTGTATTTTTAGTAGAGATGGATTTTCTCCATTTTAACCAGGATGGTCTTGAAATCCTGGCCTCAAGTGATCCGCCCGCCTCAGCCTCCCAAAGTGCTGGGATTACAGGTGTGAGCCACCGTGTCCGGCCTGATTTTATTTATTTTTTAACAAGGCACATAAGTCTCACACTTCGGTACTGCAACTACCATTAGCAACACACTCTTTTTGATGCACCCCACAACATATTGAAACACAATAGTTTGTTGTCGCACCAAGATTGAAAATTGCTGGTGTACAGGGATATCTATGGGTTTTCCAAGCTAAACCATAAGCAAGTAACACTCTTATCCCAGCTTAACCTTTATAAATAACTACTATGTCTTATTCCCATTAACGAAGAAAATTGAAAAGTGACTCCACTACAATAACATAGAAATTCCTATCTCCTTTGTGTTCACCATCACTTATAAAAAAAGATTCATATTTCTTATTTCTATACCTATTTCTAACTTAAATCCAAGAAGGCTTCCCTGAAAGTTGTGCAGTTGCTTATTCCCTTTCTTAGAATATTTGAAATATATTGAATATTTGAAATTGTTAAATATTCTAGGGAAGAGAATAAGCAACTGCACAACTTTGACCTTTTCAGGGCTTGTGCAATATGATTCACTATCCATTCCTTCCTGTTTACACTCTCAATAACCTGTAGAGATAAAGCAGTATGAACAGCCAATCAAAATGCAGAATATTGAAAAGGTTAAAGTCTATGTTTATGAGTCTATTAAATGTTTATAGTCTTTCACAGACTGCACTGGGCATTAAAACTGTTGTATCTTGTTCTGGTCATAAACATTGCAACAAGAAAGAAGTGGGTAAAACTAATTTCATTCGCAAGACAAAATTTGTAATGAGAATACAAAATGGCATAATATGTATTAATTTGTTCCCATGACAATAACTGCAAGAAAAACAGAAAATGGTGTCAACCTAAACCACTCATTAGGGTGGAAACAGGAGTTATTAAATAATTGTTAAGAAACTCAATTTAAAAGTCTAGTACTTAGCGTGATAACTTACCATTCATGCTTTGGAAAAAGATGAGGGACATTTGAACCCCATAAATCCATAACTATAAATCAGCTGACTCCTTTCTAACCTTTCTAGCCAAAGACCAATAATTGATGTGACTTCATTTTTAGGTAGCCAATGATGATGCACGTACTATTATTTCTACATCTGCTTTAAATTTGAAATGTATTATTATTTTCCTGGATAATACCTTGAAGTATCTAGAGTTTCATAGCATAATTATATGTTATATAAAAACATACTGTTTTGGTCTTGTCATTAGGTCAACTGTTAGGCCTTATTACAATGAAAGAAAAATTGCCTTTTATATACTATGCTTATCCAAATTAACTGTACTTAGAATGTCTCCTATAAGAAAAGCTAAAATATCTTGGTATAAATCACACAGACTGCTAGATGTTAGCTGCAGGCATACGATCCTTGATTAAAATACATTAATCCTTTGGGAGGCCAAGGCGGGTGGATCACCTGCAGTCAGGAGTTCGAGACCAGCCTTGCCAACATGGCAAAACCCCATCTCTGCAAATAATATAAAAATTAGCCAGGCGTGGTGACGCATGCCTGTAGTACCAGCTACTCGAGATTCTTAGGCACGAGAATCTCTTGAACCCAGAAGGCTGAGAATGCAGTGAGCCAAGATTGCCCCACTGCACTCCAGCCTGAGCCACAGAGTGAGACTTTGTCTCAAACTAAATAAATAAATAAATACATTAATCTGCTTTTTGTTTTAAATGTAAAAATTATTAACATTTCCTAGTATTACTAAAAATCCTAGCAAAAACAATTGGATACTTTTATTGTAATTGTACTTTCTTCTACCAGAGAGGAATAAAGGGGTATTTTAGGGTATTTGGAACAGTGATCTGTATAATGTAAAGCTAATGAAAAATATGTTAGCAATTTGACGACACCCACATTTACAATTATATAATTTTGAGAATCTTTTTTTTTTTTGCTGTACTCTTTCAGTTGTGAAAAAATTGAAGACTGAACACCTAACACAATTAAAGACCTAGTGGTTAAAACATAATTTCATTTGAAAGGTAACATTCTAAGCTGATTTAAAATTATATGAATTATTCTTTCCTATTTTCAACAGATTTGGAGAAGGCAGCCACTAAATTTGGAAAGAAAAGAAAAATGAATCCATGACTATCATAATGACCTAATTTTAACACATAGTGGTTTTCTGAAGTCCTTCCAAGTCTAGACACTTCATTCTAATACAACAATACTCAGTATGTGGAATGAATAAATAACAACATTTTCATACTAAAGGCCTCTATGTTCCTCTGAGAAACATTTTGGAGAGGGTAAAATTAATCTTGGCTACTTATCTCTGGGTTTGTTGCAGTTGCTCTTGGCTCCCCTAGCCCTATAAAACCCTATCAAAGCCTGACGATCACGTAAAGCATTCTTCCTCTCTCCTGCCTTCTCAAGTGAAAGACCCATTCCCTCATTGGATCTACTCATCATTACTGGATCAAATATACTCTTAGTATTGTTCCCACTGAAAAAAAGAATGCCAACCTTTTTCTTCCCCTGTCGCACAAGCCCACCTGCCCTCCAATTAAGAGTAATTGCAACAAAGATTCTTATATTCTCTATTTTGATATCAGATATTTATCAGAAAGGTGTGGCTTTAATGAAGTCACTCTTACCTTATGTTTCTGGCATAATCAACAGTAATAGCTAGCACTTATATAGCACTTGTTATGCACCATCATCCTAAGTATTTTATATATATTAGCTAATTTAATCCTCATTATAACTCTAAAATATGGAAATTATTTCCTTGCTCATTTTGCAGATGGGGAAATTTAGATCAGAGACGTTGTGTTAAATTTATAAGATTTTATAACTAATAAATACTAGAGTGAGTTTTCAAGTTAGACATCTGGCTCTAGAATCTGTACTCTTCACCACTGTACTACAATGATTCCCTACAGCAAGTGCTACCTCCACAAACAGGTATATCACCCCTCTGTGTGTGTGTGTGTGTGTGTGTGTGTGTGTGTGTGTGTGTGGTCACATAATGGGGTATCCTAAGTTTTGAGGATCTAGAAAGGAAGTAATGAATTAAAAATTAGAAAGTACCAGGACCTGGGACCTATGATGATAATCAAACCCTAAAAAGATGAGGATTTCCAAAATCTATTGGTGTTATATCTACAATTTAAGAAAATTAAAGGTTCTACATGAAATTGTTGATTGGAAAGCACAAACATTACAAAATTTAGTAAGTTATAAAAATTAAGTAAATACAATCTACTATTTTTTACATAATTATTTTCATCTTATGATCAAGTGCTAAAACAATGATTTCAGTTATCTGTCTTGGAATACAGTCACTGCTAGAGTTCTAATCTCTGAAGACAGGGACTGGGAATTATTTCCTCAGAAACTAGAGACATGCCTGACATAAAATAAGTACTCAATATACTGAAAGAATGAATAACAAGAGCTATTAATAATGATTACCTACTAAGTGTTAGGCACTGTGTAACATGCTTTGCATATATCATGTTGAATCCTTTAACAATCCAAATCTAAGACAGGTTCCATTATCCTCAGTTTACAAATTAGAAAACTGAGTTTTAGAAAGTTTTAGTCATTTATATAAATTATTCACTGACAGAATAATAATTCATACCTATGTTATATTCCAAATTCTAGGTGCTTTTCATTATGTTATTTGGCAAGAATGAATAAATGTCTAGATGGTTTATTTTCTCTCATTCTGAATGAGCAGAAATTATGACCCAACTTATCTAATTCCTGTCTTCAAAATAGTTCTTATTTCCAAAGAAATAAGAAAGAAAAAAGGGGAAAGAAAAGAAATAGTTAAACAGGAAAATGAAACAGATAAAGTTAATGAGTAGCTATACATTCTTATAGAATGCTAGTCATAATTCTAATCAAAGTGTGTCATAAGAGGTTATTTACTAGTCAGTCTCCCCAACTATACTGTGAGCTCTCCCAGGACAGAGAATGTATCTTTTATTCATTACAGTAGTACCTACCACAGGATCTAGTTCATAGTAAGTCATCAAATAACTTTTTTAAATAAATGATAGGAGAGCATTGATATGGAGGGAATGGACAGAAATGGGGGCAAGACAGATAAGAACAACTCTAGAGCAAAGAGCTGAGGTGGGAACAAAAGTATATTTTACAGGCTTACAATTTCAAATGCCTTTAGGCCAGAAAAAGTAATTTCAGGGAGTGGCATAGACCAGGCATTAGATAGTAGGGAGGAGCAATGACTGAGGCGAACTGGACAGTTCATGCTCCTTCTCAAATCACCTATGGAAAAGAGACAATTAAAACTAGATATTGCTTGGACAAGTTGTGTTATTAGCTTAATTTGCCTAATGTGGGAACAGTTTAAGACTATGGCCAGGCACAGTGGCTCATACCTGTAATCCCAGCACTTTGGGAGACCGAGGTGGGTGGATCACGAGGTCAGGAGATCGAGACCATCCTGGCTAAAATGGTGAAACCCCGTCTCTACTAAAAGTACAAAAAAATTAACCAGGCGTGTTGGCACGTGCCTGTAGTCCCAACTATTCAGGAGGTTGAGGCAGGAGAATCGCTTGAACCTGGGAGCCGGACGTTGCAGTGAGCTGAGATTGCACCACTGCACTCCAGCCTGGGAGACAGAGTGAGATTCCATCTCAAAAAAAAAAAAAAGAAAAAAAAAAAGACTATGGCCCCCACTGACTTACATATAAGTAGAAATAGATGCAAAAACAGCAGTTATACCTATTTTGAACAGATACCTGCATTTTTTTCCATTCAACAAATGTTTCTTGAATGTCTACTATGTACCAGATACTGGGACAGGCCTTAGAGGTACAATGGTAATCTCCGCCCTCACAGTTTACTTGAAGAGATAGAAACATGACAAACAGATCTATCGTCATGCCCTCTATTGTCTAGGAGAAACAGAAGCCATGCTAAAATAGTATTCAAAAGTCTGTTTTTACTATCTTCCTTTCTTTCTCTTTCATTCTTTTCCAACTCCCCACTCAAGACCATCATGCTCCTGTCATTTTCCATATTCACTCTCTGGCTATGCCAAATGTCTTTCCAGGCCTTCCCTCCTCAGAAATGCTTCAATATAATCTTTCACTCTAGCCCTTAATAATCAAAATTTTGTAAAGACTCTGAGAATAAAAATGTCTTATCATATGAATAAAGTAATTCAGGCTAAATATATGAATGACAGCAGTGTGCTAAGTTTACTGAGAGCATAAGCTTTGCATTACATTTCCTCTTTTCCACAACAATGACTTGTAAATAGTAGCAGCTCAATAAATACTTGTCTCACCTTTAAGGTCTTTAAAAACATCTATCTCCCCTGGCCTATTTACATTTTAAAAGAAAAGCAAATAAATTGGAATAATGGTGGGAAGTAGTCAGTTGCTAAGACAGTCTCCTGGTGCTGTCATCCTAATACAACCCCTTTGGATACTGGGGGTTATGGACAGAATTACAGGGACAATTCAGAATTGTACTATAGACTGGTCTGGCATGGTGGCTCATGCCTGTAATCCCAACACTGTGGGAGGCTGAGGTAGGCCGATCACTTGAGGCGAGGAGTTTGAGACCAGCCTGGCCAACATGGTAAAACCCCGTCCCTACTAAAAAATACACAAATTAGGCCGGGCGTGGTGGTGGGTGCCTATAACTCCAGCTCCTTGGGAGGCTGAGGCAGGAGAATCACATGAATCCGGGAAGCAGAGGTTGCACTGAGCCAAGATCCCGCCACTGCAATCCAGCCTGGAAGACAGAGCAAGACTCTGTCTCAAAAAAAAAAAAAAAAAAAAAAAAAAATTTATGATAGACTATCCTCTAATAACTCCAAAGCTTTAGAAGAACTGTTTGCAACTGTTTGCAATTATAGGTTGGTTGTCACCTTGATTAATATTTTAGAGTAAATCAGCGAGGGGACAAGTAGTAAAGCTACATTTGGTTTTGACTTTTTTTTAAAAAATGAGAAGTAGCCCATGGATTCTCAAGTGGTTCCTTTTTTGTTCTGTGCTAGATTTGACATGCTAAATATTTTCAAACCCTCTAAACAGCAGTGCAAATAGGCTGTATTTAATATCAAAAGGGGAGATAAAAATAAATAAAATAAGAATGTTGTTTTCTCTTTCACAGTCTTCTTATAGTTTTATAAAACCATAAATTCTGGAGCATAAAAAAAGTAGAAAAAGTTGCAATAAAAATAAATATTAAATAAAGAGGCTGCTCCATCTTCCTCTCTCTCTCGTGAAATTCTCTTGATCTTTCCAATTTTATGTTATATTGTATACTAAAGAAACCTACACATTGGTTTGGGCAATGTGCGAGTCTTACTAATAACGGACATTGAAAGCTGCTGATTTAGGACACTGTGGTTTATTTTATTTTAAACATATTTTGTAAAGAGCCAACGTCTAATATACTGCCTTTATTGTCTTTGTTCCATGTGTACACACCTTATCTCAGCAAAATTCTAAGTTCCTTGAGGGCAAAAACAGTTTATCTCCGTATCTTCGTAGCACAATGATTAATTGAAAACAGTCATAAATACCTACATGTATAAATACATAGATAAACAAATGTTTGTTAATATCTGGTCATGATTGTTGCTTCCTTCATTAAGTAATAAACACACAGTATGTGTAAGTTACCCTAAGACTCAACATGTTAAAGAAGTCTTCCTGTTTTGGGGTGTACATTTTTGCTTCTGAACTTGGCTCCTGGTGTGCATAATTAGCCACTTGCCAACATAATTGGCCACTTGCTTTTTTTTTAAGGATATTCAGTGGCAAAGTGCAGGTGCACTTTTGGGACCCATAACTAGTTGCAGCTGAAAAATAAATGAAAAAAAAGAAGACTAATTGTGATCCTCTGACAATTGGGCTCTTTAGGGTTATAACCCCCACAGCCATCAAACCTTCCTTAAAAATCTTCCCTCAGTTCCATTGTTAAGAATTTTATAGATGTTTGGAAAATATAATTTGTTCTAAAATACAATTACAGCATGTAAGTAAAAAAAAAAGAAGAAGAAGAAAAATATTGAAACCAATTTCTACAGAAACTCTCTCAAGGAGCATTTGCAAGATTCAGTGTAGATTTGAGGAAAGTCTCCATGTTATAAAACCACCTTTCTCTTCTGCAGAAAATTTTCATTTGAGCAACTTGTCATTTTGTCCAGTATTAGAACAAGTTATGCAAGTCAGGAGCTCAGTGGAGAATCCTTTCAGCTCACTTAAAGTTTCACATAATGGTGATTTATCAAAAGGAAAAATGTAAAACTAAAGTTTGTCACACATCAAGAGTGACTTCCATAAAAGAAAAATAAAAAAGCTTTCAATAAAAAGAATGAAGAAACCTACTAATTAGTCTACACCATATCTAGATTCTGAGCAACTCTACTGCTATTGTCAGTAGTCAACCACTGAAGGTCTTGGTTTATTAACTGGCTATTGTTGAAATGATACTATATAATAATGCATTGCAGAAACACAGCGAATTATAATTAAAAAATTGTATTTCTTATTATGGGTCTGTGAATCATTTGGTAAACTTCTGACTAGGACTTCGAGTTGATTAGTCCTGGATATACCATGAATTGTATTTAAGTATTTTCCTCATATTCCTTCTTCTTGGACTAGCAGAACTAATCAGAGTGTATATTTCTCATGACGGATCACAGAAGGGCAACCTGACAAGCCAAATCATGCACATACATTTTAAACATCTATTGGCATTATTTTCACTAATCTCTTATTGGACAAATCGAGTCAAAAGGCTAAGAATACACTGCACGTTGAGAGGATACTACAAATGTACCTGGCAAAGTGTGTGGATGTACAATTTTATTAACAATAGAGGGGAAAATCAAGACTGATAATCCAATTTATCATAATTGGGTACAACCGTATTGACTCTGATAAATTACAGTGCATTTAAAAGTTTCAGAAAATAATTTTGTACAAAGAATTATTGAAAGAACTGAGGATTTTTAGCCTCCAGAATGTAAAAGTCATCGGTTAGAGATGCTAGACAAGGAATTCCTGCCTTTGGGAAAATGGTTGGATAAAAGTCTCATTTAGCTCTAGGAGAGTGTGTGATTATTTGAGACATTTCCTTGTAGGAACATTGGTTAACAGACTGGAGAAAAGTTGGCAGGGGTTGGGGGAGTTGCAGGGGCAGCAATAGGTGAGTCTTTGTTTCAAAGGGTGGGATTTCTATAAGTTGTTGTATAGGCTGCTTTTGTTTGCTTTGCTGTTGAAGGAGAGGAAGCTGTCATTATTCATGTTGTTTTATATTCCAAGCTCTCCTCTCAGGGTTCATCAGTGTATTTCAAAATGAAGAGCATCATCTGAGTCTTCTGAGACATTTTTTAGACATTCTAATTACTGTTCAACCAGAAAAATAAACCTGCATAACTTTGGCAAGTCACTCTCATTTCTTCATTTAAAAATTGAGGGGCTGGATGATATACAATCTCACTGGAAGAGGACAAATATACTAGCATTTGAGTACCTTCTATGTGCCTAATTATGGTGCTCTGTGCTTTCACAGGCTCTGGAAGACCTTATATTCTATGCTTCTGTGATTTTATACTGTCATTCAGCACCTGTAGGTAACAATGTTAAATAGCAGAACAACTTTGTGAACTACTGTTGCCATCTAATGGATTTTTAATAAAACTGTCCATAAAATTCACATCTGTGACCTTTCTCATAATATTCCTCTCCTCACTTTTTCCCCAAAAGGTAATAGCTACTGATTTATTTGGCCATAAAATGCATCATCATAATGAACGATGTGAAATCCTTTAAAAGAGCTTTAGTTTCAATCACTCCCAAGTGATCAGAGAACTGAATTACATCCTAGCCACTGAGGTTTCAAAAGATTTCAATATTAATACTAACAGCTATCATTTATTGAGCATTTATTTATGTCAGGAACTACACTAGTAGTTACATGTGTAATTTTATTTAAGCAATAATATCTTCTGTGTGAATTTATAATCACAGCCTGTTAGGCTGCAAGACTAAATAGATACAATTACAAAAACCTCATGTGCTGAACTTGCTACTGAAGTTCAACTTAATTTCAAATGTTTTCCTTGGGATCAAAATACTTTTCAAAATTAAATGTGCTTTGCACAGTACCCCATCTATGTTTTTCATGGAATGAAATTTTATTATCTTGAACCTTTTATTTCATAATTTAGTAAGCATTAGAAACAGTTTCTGGATGACTTACACTGTTAGTAAGCTTGTAGATATACTTAAAAGTTCAGGGCTGAGGTCAATAGTAGTTTTTTGGACACAAGCTCTGTGATCACCTTCATTAATCATGCTATAGTGTCATCCTCATATGCTGGGTCCATAGAATTCAGAATAAAGACATTTCCTAAGTATGTATTAAGTATCAGGCAATATTCAAAGCATCTTATATATATCAATTTATTTCATCCTCATAACAATTCTATAAAATAGGTATTATTGTTATTATCATCATACTTATTTTGCAGATAAGGAAATTAAGACACAGAGATGCTAACTAACTTGCTCAAGGATACACATCAAAGAAGGTTAGGTTGTCAACTGAGCCATTTGGCTCTAGAATTTGCACTCAAAATTACTATGCTGTGATACTTTAGGATAGTTAGGTAATGGGGCCCAACATACCTGCCTTAATAGTATCTGATGTTGTTAGGTATTTGTTTCTTGGATAGTGATCTGACATGGCTAGAATACAGGCAGTATTTTTTCTCTAACAGGCAGTTATTTTGGGATCACAGAAACTCTATTTGGGCATAAAATCATGTTTCTAACAACTGTTCAGGGTTTGCTACATAATTTTCAGGGCTTAATGCAAAACGAAAATCCAGGACTCTGTTAAAAAAGCAAGGTGATGGGGTGCTGTTAAAGATACTAAAATATACAGCTTTGTTTCTTTATTCCATAGTCTCTCTTACAACTTGCCATGGTACTTTTTATTTGCCATTGAACGTCACACACCCCCAGGAACAGGGATATTCACAGGAAGGCAGGGAGGTAGAATGCTGAGATTCACATGAACCAAAATTCTAAGCCTTTGTCTCACACTTCATTGTCACATCTGACTTCCCTTATAAAACACAAATTCAAATATAAAAATAAAGAATTTCAGCCAGGGACCACAGAGCATTAAATCCCAAGTATGAGGCCCTTCTAAGCATATGACCATATGTGATTGTACTCATCACACGCCCATGAAGCTGGCCATACAACTATTTCACAAAAATATTTGAGGCAGTATTGTGTTACCATTGAGTCAGAGTATCTGTGTTTGAATCATGGCTCTCTACTTTATCAAATTTATATATTACCTTGATCAAATTATTTTTATCTCGTATAAACTAGGTTTGCTCATCTATAAGATTTGTAGTAATAGCAGTACATTTTTCATAAGACTCTTGGAATTTAGGTGAGACACTCTCTGGCATATATTACTCTATAAATGTAAGAAATGTCATTTAATTTCAAAGATGATTGGATAACGTTATAGGAATAATGTAGAAACATCTATGTATGTCTGGTGGACACCTTTCATCCAGTATACTCCATTATTCCAGCAAAATATACCCCTTCTGGAAATTGCCACCCCACTTCAACTCCATCTATATAGCAGCTGAGAGTGCTGAGTTGTGAGTACATGTATCTCCACCTCTTACCAGAGTCGATTGATCTAGGGTGGGCACCAAACCCAAGCAAGGCCCAGTCCATTTTTGAGATTCATAGGAAATGCATCTAGGTCTCAGAAATCACTGGAACCAGAGTCTGGAACTCAATAAGGACTCTTCTCTTCTAGTCTCTGTTTTTTTGTTTTGTTTTGTTTTGTTTTTCTGCGCACATGCTCATTTTTCTACCTTTCTTTAAGTTCTTTCCTTGGTTTTCATGAGATACCTCAGGATCCTTAAGATAAACTATCCTTTTAGCCTTAATTAGTTTGAGTTGGGCTTCTGATACCGCTAATAAAAAAGTCCCCTCTATATACCATTCCATTACAGAAATCTGATTCTAAGAATGTATTTGCATTTTTTACCTTCTTCACCTGGATATTGCCATTCCCTTCACAATATGGCAGATAAGGCACTATCCGAATTCTACCTCATGAATAAAATCCAGGTCGATAATCACCAATATCATAAAGACTTCCCGATCACACCAGTCAGAAACAACTTCTTTTTTCTTCCTTGAACACCTAAAGAATTCGCTCTCTTTTGTTTTACAACCTGTGACACTTACTCCATACTTTCTTCATAGCTATCTCATTATTAGCTACGTATTTGGTTTAGTGATTTTGTGTCTTGCTGCAATTATTAGACGACAAGTAAGGATCTATGTAGATTTTTAAAGCTATTACTATTCACTTTATTCTCTGAAAGAATAGAAAAAGGTAAGATATTAATTAAAACTTATTGAATAAATGAATATATTAATGAGTTAGTGAATAAATAATTATCGGAGTTAGCCAGTAGTGTCTTCCTTATTCATCTCAAAGTTACTAGTGATAGTAACGACTAGCCTTGTTAGAACACTCTATTTATTGTGTAAAAATACTGTGTCTCTAAAGAAATTATCACCTTTAACTTTTCTCCAATACAACGAAGTATACCAGTGGAAAAATTGCTTAATCATTAGCCCAAGAAAGCAGTTATCTCTATGCTTCTCCATGCATTATGTGTGAGATACTTTTATAACAACACTTCATCATTCTCTTTCTATCTTGACAAACAAAACACTGCAGGAGACATATGTTCCCATTTCCAGATGCCAGAATTCAATAACGATGTTAGTTAACATCTTTCATGTTTTGATTTTGTCACATAGCCTTGATCCTAACATTATGAAGCCAAAATCCATTGTTAGAGGAAAAGTTGGATTTTCCATATGAATTCAAAGAGATAGTATGCTTTTCACAGGCCAGAGGTTGTTAGCCTTGGCACTTGACACCTTGGATTGGATAATTCTTTGTTGTAGGGGGCTGCCCTGTTCATTGTAAGATGTTTAGCAGTATCCTTGTCCCCTGTACACCAGAATTCAATAGCACACTCTCTTCCCTTGAGGTGCAGCCATCATAAATGTCTCCAGATATTTCCAAACATCCTCTGGGGGACAAAATTCCCTCAATTGAGCACCAGTGATATAGAGAGAATAGAATTGTTGTACTGTACCCTACTTGCTAAAGCAAAAATCATTTGTAATAAGACATGTACAGAAAGGCAGAATTCTTACATTTGGATGGCTTTGGAAAACACACAAAACATAACCCTTTTATTTTACTAATGAAAAAATTGAACATCAGAGAGTGAGGAGACTTCTTCATGATTACAGAGTGAGGTAGTTTGCAGAGTTATTTTAAATCCAGATTTCTGACCCCCCTAGTTAGGGTTTTGGCCATCACACCATGCTCAAATTAAGAATTCTATTAACATGGTCTTAGCTTGCCAGTAGGCCACTTGGATTGCCACCTAAAATTGGTTGGTGGACTACCTCAATAGCAGGACTGGCTGCATAATTTGTGAGACCCAGTGCAAATTTAAAATGCTGAGCTCCTTGTTCAAAAACTGGGCACAAGTATCATTAAAGCTTTTTTTCTTCCTTTTATGATTCATCTCTCTTGACCTGTCATAGCTTTTAAAAATTTGCTATCTAATGTTCCAATCCTTCAGGCATAGGGATATTCATGAGGTGAGTTCATGCCCCATGCCTTCGTGTGTGCCTATTTGCTGCTAGGTTCTCCCATTTGCCAGCCACTGGGCCAAAATGCCATGTCCTTCCAGGGAGAGGGAAGAAATAAAGCAAGACATATCTCTTTCCCACACCAGTACTCACTCCTGGATTGGGGGAGATGGCTGGATGAGAGGATCACTCTTACAGAGGCACCTGACAAATTCGTTGTGGTGACTGCCAGCTCAGGGCAGGAATAGCAGTCAACAAGCCCCAGCCCAAGACTCACAGGATCTTCAACCCTTTCTCCTGGAGTGTAGACAACAGATGTTGCTGGGCAACCTTGAGTTCCAAGAACTCGTCCTGGGCAGGCAGAGAGGCAGTGGGAGGAGGAATTGCAGGTAAGGCCAGGCTCCAAACTCCTGTCACATGCTCCATTGTCTCATTGGACACTATGTACAAAACACAAGTCAAAAATAAAATTACCAAGATTTTCAAGATAGTGACTGCAGAGCATTAAACCTCAAGCACAAGCACAGAACACAATTTTGAGTGTGGAGTTCTTGTGATGGCACAGGTAACATGCCCATGAAGTTAGCCCTGCTCTCAAGGGCCAGAGTGCAAAATTTTACACAGCTGCCTAAAGTGACAATTCTAAAAATAAAATTTATTTTATTAAAAGATAATGATTATTACCACTTTCTGATCATGATCCACTCTGCAGTCATACTGATCTTTTAAAGCATTGAGGAGAATTTTTGAAAAGCAATTTTACTATGCCATTAGTGATTCCTTGAAAGATTTTGAGCTCTGAGCAAATATGCCAAATATCAGTATAAATCATGCATAATTATGGATGTCTTCATTGTATCCAGTAGAAAGGAAACACAGTTTTAAGTATCATGAATTTGTAATAAGAAAAATATTTAAAATTTTTCTCACAGTGAGGCTATAGTGCGGGAAATAGGGAAAACTACATTTTTGCCTTTTCTAATCGGGTACTTAACCTCTGCACTTCTATTTCCCTAGAGAAAATGTAAACAAAACAAGAAATTTGGGAAACGTGATCATATATTCAACAATCTGTTCAGACAGGATCATGAAACTTCTGAATGTAGTCTAGGGATGGCCCGTTAATTTCCCCTTCATATTCAAATGATGCAAAGATAGTTAAAAGACACTACCTACAGATATGGCTGTCAACTCAGTTTGGGAAATTCTACCAATGTGATTATAGCTCATCAGCAAGTTCATTAACATGTTATCTGGACAAGCTAAACCTAGGGAGGCAGAATTGGTTTGATGACAACCTTTCCAGGGAAAGGGTGAACAATTTACCATTACTGTCTTCTATTTGCAAGTGAAACCTAGCTCTGGTTTCGATTTGGCTTGGCTCCATAAGAAGAGCTACATAAGCAGTTGAGAGTGTTTACATGGGAGGATAACAGCAGGCTACTGTAGAAACTTGGACTCCAAGTAATTGGCATGGAAAATGAATTCAACTCATTAACAGGTCTCTGAAACACAGCCCTTTGAAAATCAGCTTGACAGTTTCGTTTAATAAGTATTCGGCACCTCCAGGCAACCTCACTAGACTCTCACCTTTCACTTTCTTTTTTGTGTTCCTTGCAGCCAGTTTTCGCTGCCTGTTAACAGTCACTCCTTTGGAAAGAAAATGTTTTGCAGGAATAGCAACAGCAGACACTCAAATGTATGTATGCACAAACACATGGAATATTTTTCTTGTGAAAATGATGGTGCTCTCCTAGCCAAATGTTCAGAGCAAGGCAGAAGCCAGAAAGTCTCTGTAGCAAAGAAGAGATTGTTCCTGGGACTGCAGTTCTGGATATGAGACTCAGCCACAGACTGTCGGTATCTGGCATCCTCAGCATGGATATAAGTTGCACGGATAGATGGGGCCTGACACTTAGAGAAAACATCACTGTTTTCTCTAAGTCTAGTCCGATGAGACAAAATCATTCATAGAATGTCAGAGCTGGGATGGTTCTGAGATTATTACATTTTGCATAAAGCCCTGAGAGGTACCACTAACTGCCCAAGGTCACATTGGAATTCAACTCTCCAAGTCTGAAATTATCTGGAATTCCCCCCAGGGACTGAATTTTTGAAAGGCCAGGCTGGTGTAAAAATCAGTAAATGGAAGTGGGGAAAGAAGTAGATTTGGGGAGATATATTTATCAGTTAAACACTGCAGCAAATTGTGGGCACCCCAGACAAAGTGAAGTGGAAAATTGAAGCAATTAGGTGGATAATTCAGTTCAAAACACAGTCATCTGAAATAGTCAGATAATTAAAGCAAGAACCATTTTTTGCCTTGAATTATCTTGATAGTTGTCTCAATTATCCACTTCAGCGTGTGTGTAGACTCAGCCAGCCAGAGAGATCATAATTATCACTACTTGACCTTAATCTGATCTCTTTACTTGTAAAACAGTTACCAGTAAATGTGAACCTAAAGGTAACTTGGGAGAGATGTGGTAAAGAGGTGAGAGTACCCTTTAAGTATCTCCAGCAAGAATAGAAAATGGTAAAATAGAGTGTGTGAATTGTGTGTGTATAAAACCACTGTGAATTAAGCAATTTTACCTGTCATCAAAATCAGCCATCAGGAATTGGGCATTACCTAAGTACAAAAGAGCAAGAGGGCTTTGTGTGTTCTTTGATTGAAGGGATTTAATTTAGTTGCAAATACAGTTTTTTTCTGTTATGAAAAATTAAGGACAATAGCTTTTAAAAAGAGGTTAAACCTATGAGGCTTTTGAACATTACACATGTTACATTATAGCCTACTTTCAGAAAACAGCTCAGTTGCAAATAGGCAGATGAGAGTAATTCTGTTCTTCCCACAAGGAGTGTGTGAAGAACACATCCATCCATATTTACAAATAGATGAATAAGTCTGTCCTGGTACAATCCATTCCCTTATGACTTTTTACTGTGTTCTCATTAAGGTAGACTTGAAAATGTGAAACTAACTAACAAAAAGTTCTATTGAACTTTTTGTTCAATAGAACTTTTGAACAAACATGTGAACACTTGTCCACGTGTTTTCAACTTTGGGGAAAGGAAAGCGATGCCGAAATAGATGGGCATTTGTATATAAACTTTGGAATCCTGTGGAGAGAAGGGGCTCTGTAAATATTTGCTAATTTTATCTTTTTTCAGTTAACACTTGCATCCTTTTCAATTAATACTCACTATTTTTTCAATTACTATTAAGAAACACAGCTAATGTATAACAGTTGAGTGCATGGTTGCTGGAGCCAGTTTGGCTGAATTCAAATTGTAACTCTGTCACTTACTAGTTTTATGAATTTGCCTAAGTGTTTTTAGCCTCACCTGTGGATAGGGGTGTCCTCAGCTGTAAGATGAAGGAAATAGTAGTGTCTCTATCCTAGGGTTGTTGTGTAGACTGAATAGCTTGGAATTAATTTAAAGGGTGGCTGCCATGTAGTGAACACCATTCTAAGTATTAGATATTATGATTTAATTCTCCTTGGTAATATGTATTGAGACATGGATTAACATTAGAATATTAAAGTCAGTACAAATTAGAGATGCTCATGCATAATTCCTTGCTGGAGTTTACTTTTGTATTAAAGAACTTCTTTCATTGGCCACTCTATCTCATTTATTAATGAGCAAATGGGCTAAGAGAAGAGGATTCTATTTGCTCAAAGTCACACAGTTATGAACCAACAGAGCTGAACCAAATGGCTGAGACCTAGAAAACCTAACATCAAGTCACCAGCTTGAGTCTTATAAAAGACATATGCTTTCATTTCTGTCACCCAGCTTATATAAGCATTGACTTATATATGGTCATTTTGTCCTCCTTTTTTATTTAAAATTTTATAATTTTTTTTCTATTTTTTTTTTTTTTTTATTGTAGGAGGACTGGAAAAGAAAGGGTTTGGACATTTAAGGAGCAAGCCAAAATGGGCCATCCTCAAAAACAATCTTATGGAAACCTGAAGGCTTGTCAGAAACATTGTAATATCTTGAGAAGTGATGGGGAATTAGATAAGAATAACAGATTTTTTTTTAAATCATAAATAACAGTGGATCAGAAAGCAAAAACAACAGTGATAATGAAGACAAAGCCCACTGACTGAACTAGAGTAAGCTAATAGGGAAATGGGTTTCCTCTATGGCCCCGTGCCATTTTAAGTCAGGCTTGCATAGCTAATTTCATCTCCTCTGGCTTTGGGGCTTCCAAGATAGCCCTGAGCAGGAACACTTGTTCAATTTTTACCACTATCCCTCTCCCTAATCCCTACATCCCCAGCAAATAGACAGACATTTTTAAAGTCAGTTTGAAACATAACAGTTTTCTCAGGTACTTTCACATTCCTTCGAACCAACAAATTTTAAAGCCATTGAATGTAACGGCATACTTTGAATAAAATGAAACTCTGAGATGAAAGCAAGCCAACATGCACAGCCCTCTTCTCTGTTTTTCTTCCAGAGTTTAAATTCAGCTAATCAAAGTTTTTCCTCATATTAGAGGGCCTGTCATGAAAAGGTAGTATAGAATGGTGATTAAGAGTTCAGGCAGACTCTGAAGCCAAACTGCCTGGGTCAAAATCCTAGCTCTGTTGTTTAACTGTTAAGTGACTTTAGGCAAGTTAAGCTGTCCTAAAATTGCCTAAGATGAATATTTGGAAATACGGGAACTTGAAAAAGCAGAGACCAGTGGAGGTTGGGTAGTCAGGAGAGGCTTCTCAAAGAAGGTGAGGCTAAAGGATAACCAGTGTTTGTTCAGACATGTATCTCTTTGGGAAAAAATTGATCAAACTACATCTACCTTGTTTTTAAATCTTTTTTTTTTTTTCAGTTTCACTAATGGGACACTGCCAAAACTATCACGGCAGGTCCTTTCTGTTCATTTACAAAAAGCCACTTTTCCAAAACCAAGAGATCATATTTCCATATAAAAATGGATGAAAAACATACATATGGAAAGACTTTAAGACACATTTTAGTATTTAAGAAAAATATTTTTTTTTCCTCAAAGCAAAAGATCTGGTAAGAGATTGGCAGCTGCAACTATGGTATTGAAAACGGCATCAAGGAAAAGGATGTATTACACATGTCTCTTAAAACTAAGCCATCTGATAGCCAAGGGAGAAATAAATAACAGAGAAGGAAGCCCTGTTTCCCTTCCTTGTTCTTTTTTAAATCATTGTAACAGAAATAAAATCAACACAGAGGGGCATAAAAGGAAATAGGAAAATAGATATCAAAAAGAGAAGCTGGAAATTCTGTTTAAAATGATACACTACAGTCACAAATATCTCTGTATCTTTCTTCTTGCTAAGTAAAAGAGACAATTGCAGATGTATTTCCCCCACATTGTAAATCTGAACATGTTTTTCAGCGTCAGTTTTTATCCCTAGCCTGTCCCTAATGATCAGCACCAAGTTATTTCTTCACTGTGTTGGAAATTTGACTGTATATTGTAGATAACACTTTTATATCAAAAAATGTCAACATTTTTTCAAAAAATGGAAAAATGTCTTAGAAATGGTAATCTCATAGAAAAACAGGACATTATGTTTGAGAGGAACTCTTTCAATGTGAAGCCACTTTCCATTTCTTGCCTATTTTCCTTTGTGATTGTCATTTGGTGATGGTGCTTAGATATGCCTCCAGGAAAAGAAAAAAAAGAATGAGAGCTACCAAGTGAGTGTGAGAAAGAGAAATGAAGATAGGAAGAAAAAATGTGTATGTCCTACTCAGTGGCCTAATTACGGCACTTTATAATAAAACCAATTTATCATGACTCTTAAAAAGTAATACAAGATAGAAATATCATCTTCATCTTGTCATTCAATAAATATTTTTAAATTTCTAAGGCTTTACAACACAGATATCCCAGAAAGGAGTCCAGCAGGAAGGATAAAGTAGCCAGATGATTAAGTATTTGTAAACAGCCCAAAATAGTGCCATGCATCAGTAAGTTAGGTCTCACCTTCTTTCCTTTTCTGTATCCAGAAAAGGGGTGTGGGGGAATGAGGACCAGTCGGAGTAAGGACACATAGCTGAAGCCAACATTAGCATCATTCTCTTCTACCACACCTCTATGCCTGCATATGAGATACAAATAAACTACGACTTTACAGGACTGAAAGCCCTTCATCTTCAAATCTTTAAGATTCATTAAAAACTCTTGTGTTCATATTACTACCAAATATTTCAAAGTTCTTCAGGTTTCTAAACTAAATCTTTCAGAAAAACAACAAAAATTATTTCAAGAAATCAAAAGCTCCTTTCAATGGCTACATTAATGCAAAATTCTTTTTTAAAAAGAATGCATTTGGTATATTTAACTTTAATTAATTAATTAATTAATTTATTTATTTATTTATTTACTTTTTTGAGACGGAGTCTCGCTCTGTCACCCAGGCTGGAGTGCAGTGGCGCGATCTTTGCTCACTGCAAGCTCCGCCTCCCGGGTTCACGCCATTCTCCTGCCTCAGCCTCCCAAGTAGCTGGGATTACAGGCGCCCGCCACAACGCCCGGCTAATTTTTTTTATTTTTAGTAGAGACGGGGTTTCATCATATTAGCCAGGATGGTCTCGATCTCCTGACCTCGTGATCTGCCCGCTTCGGCCTCCAAAAGCGCTGGGATTACAGGCGTGAGCCCCTGCGCCTGGCCGGCATATTTAACTTTAAAATTTGCTTTGAAGGAAATGTTTCTTAGTCTGAGACATGCCCACCAGTTCATAAAACAGGGCATTTTTTCCTGGTCACTTAAAGAGCCTCTCAATTAGAAAGTTGAACAAGGATTAGCTTCAGTGATCCTGAGTTATTTCCCTAAGTGTATTAGCATAATGACCTACTCTCATGCAATATTTTATTTTATTTTATTTTATTTTTATTATACTCTAAGTTTTAGGGTACATGTGCACAACGTGCAGGTTTGTTACATATACATACATGTGCCGTGTTGGTGTGCTGCACCCATTAACTCGTCTCTCATGCAATATTTTAAATGAGAAGGCCTATAATTAGATTATGAGAGAGAAAATATATGTTTACAAAGTCGTTAGCATAAAATAACACATGCAGACTAGGCAATATCCAAATACTGGCTCCTTTTTATATATATGACCCATCCATCTAGTTTTTGGGATAGAAGTGTATCAGAGGAAAACACCCAGTACATAATCTTATTGAACATCCACACAGGGAATGTGCAGTCACATACAAAAAAAATCCCATTGATTTCTACTTGAGATGCTGATCTATTGATTTTTGAGTGGCTCTGGTTACCTCACCATAGGAGTGTGGCTTCAGGAAAAGTGAACTAACTGGGAAATCTGCAAAGCAGCAAGCAGAGCAGGACAAATTGGTAAAATTATTTAATACTGAAACCCAACCTCACTGACCTCCTGGCAAGACTCACAATTAGAAAGTAGGGAATAAATGTTAATTATCAATAATGAACTATTTGGGGTCATAATCATGAAGGTGGAAATATTAGAGTACAGGAACAGGCATAGTTAGGTACTCTATGTATTCTTATAATGTTCTTAATTAGTGCAGCAATCTAGGCAGCAGTAAGCTGTGGAAAGAGGGCCAAGAGGGACACTCTCAGACTTTCTGTTGCATGTACATTTGCTGAAATTGCAATGGTACGTTCTCACTAAACTTTTTGTACCCCTGTCTCACCTCAGATTTCCTCAGGTTTTTCTCTGGCTGTCTGAATCCAGTTCCCCATTCCTCGGCCAGCTTACCCTAATATCTTGTTTACCCCAACATGCAACTCACCTCTTTTCAAAAGTCTTCTCCATTCCTTCCCCCACTCCCCAAAGTCTCTTCTGTAATTGTAAGGCTAGATTTTTCAGAGAAATAAAAATTTGATTAATTACTATTAAGGCGTGTGTTTTTATTCATTTTAAATTGTAACTGGCAGACCAAATGGATTATACATCAATAGTCTTTAATTGCCTACACCAATCAATCTTCTGTATTTTATACATATTCACAGTAATTTCACTAACCTTATATGGAAGAATAGGGCTCAATATATTGCCAATATATCAGCAACTATTTTTGGAAAGATGCCTTCCTTAGGTCACACATCCATATACAACTTGTTTCGGTAGTTCTATGTACCAGAACTCTGAAGTGTTACTTTCTACCAAGGGAAAATCTATAACCTTGGGAGGAGCCAAGATGGCCGAATAGGAACAGCTCCGGTCTACAGCTCCCAGCGTGAGCGACGCAGAAGACGGGTGATTTCTGCATTTCCATCTGAGGTACCGGGTTCATCTCACTAGGGAGTGCCAGACAGTGGGCGCAGGCCAGTGTGTGTGCGCACCGTGCGCGAGCCGAAGCAGGGCGAGGCATCGCCTCACCTGGGAAGCGCAAGGGGTCAGGGAGTTCCCTTTCCGAGTCAAAGAAAGGGGTGACGGACACACCTGGAAAATCAGGTCACTCCCACCCGAATATTGCGCTTTTCAGACCGGCTTAAGAAACGGCGCACCACGAGACTATATCCCACACCTGGCTCAGAGGGTCCTACGCCCACGGAATCGCGCTGATTGCTAGCACAGCAGTCTGAGATCAAACTGCAAGGCGGCAACGAGGCTGGGGGAGGGGCGCCCGCCATTGCCCAGGCTTGCTTAGGTAAACAAAGCAGCCAGGAAGCTCGAACTGGGTGGAGCCCACCACAGCTCAAGGAGGCCTGCCTGCCTCTGTAGGCTCCACCTCTGGGGGCAGGGCACAGACAAACAAAAAGACAGCAGTAACCTCTGCAGACTTAAGTGTCCCTGTCTAACAGCTTTGAAGAGAGCAGTGGTTCTCCCAGCACGCAGCTGGAGATCTGAGAACGGTCAGACTGCCTCCTCAAGTGGGTCCCTGACCCCTGACCCCCGAGCAGCCTAACTGGGAGGCACCCCCCAGCAGGGGCACACTGACACCTCACACAGCAGGGTATTCCAACAGACCTGCAGCTGAGGGTCCTGTCTGTTAGAAGGAAAACTAACAACCAGAAAGGACATCTACACCGAAAACCCATCTGTACATCACCATCATCAAAGACCAAAAGTAGATAAAACCACAAAGATGGGGAAAAAACAGAACAGAAAAACTGGAAACTCTAAAACGCAGAGCGCCTCTCCTCCTCCAAAGGAACGCAGTTCCTCACCAGCAACAGAACAAAGCTGGATGGAGAATGATTTTGACGAGCTGAGAGAAGAAGGCTTCAGACGATCAAATTACTCTGAGCTACGGGAGGACATTCAAACCAAAGGCAAAGAAGTTGAAAACTTTGAAAAAAATTTAGAAGAATGTATAACTAGAATAACCAATACAGAGAAGTGCTTAAAGGAGCTGATGGAGCTGAAAACCAAGGCTCGAGAACTACGTGAAGAATGCAGAAGCCTCAGGAGCCGATGCGATCAACTGGAAGAAAGGGTATCAGCAATGGAAGATGAAATGAATGAAATGAAGCGAGAAGGGAAGTTTAGAGAAAAAAGAATAAAAAGAAATGAGCAAAGCCTCCAAGAAATATGGGACTATGTGAAAAGACCAAATCTACGTCTGATTGGTGTACCTGAAAGTGACGGGGAGAATGGAACCAAGTTGGAAAACACTCTGCAGGATATTATCCAGGAGAACTTCCCCAATCTAGAAAGGCAGGCCAACGTTCAGATTCAGGAAATACAGAGAACACCACAAAGATACTCCTCGAGAAGAGCAACTCCAAGACACATAATTGTCAGATTCACCAAAGTTGAAATGAAGGAAAAAATGTTAAGGGCAGCCAGAGAGAAAGGTCGGGTTACCCTCAAAGGAAAGCCCATCAGACTAACAGCGGATCTCTCGGCAGAAACCCTACAAGCCAGAAGAGAGTGGAGGCCAATATTCAACATTCTTAAAGAAAAGAATTTTCAACCCAGAATTTCATATCCAGCCAAACTAAGCTTCATAAGTGAAGGAGAAATAAAATACTTTATAGACAAGCAAATGCTGAGAGATTTTGTCACCACCAGGCCTGCCCTAAAAGAGCTCCTGAAGGAAGCGCTAAACATGGAAAGGAACAACCGGTACCAGCCGCTGCAAAATCATGCCAAAATGTAAAGACCATCGAGACTAGGAAGAAACTGCATCAACTAATGAGCAAAATCACCAGCTAACATCATAATGACAGGATCAAATTCACACATAACAATATTAACTTTAAATATAAATGGACTAAATTCTGCAATTAAAAGACACAGACTGGCAAGTTGGATAAAGAGTCAAGACCCATCAGTGTGCTGTATTCAGGAAACCCATCTCACGTGCAGAGACACACATAGGCTCAAAATAAAAGGATGGAGGAAGATCTACCAAGCCAATGGAAAACAAAAAAAGGCAGGGGTTGCAATCCTAGTCTCTGATAAAACAGACTTTAAACCAACAAAGATCAAAAGAGACAAAGAAGGCCATTACATAATGGTAAAGGGATCAATTCAACAAGAGGAGCTAACTATCCTAAATATTTATGCACCCAATACAGGAGCACCCAGATTCATAAAGCAAGTCCTGAGTGACCTACAAAGAGACTTAGACTCCCACACATTAATAATGGGAGACTTTAACACCCCACTGTCAACATTAGACAGATCAACGAGACAGAAAGTCAACAAGGATACCCAGGAATTGAACTCAGCTCTGCACCAAGCAGACCTAATAGACATCTACAGAACTCTCCACCACAAATCAACAGAATATACATTCTTTTCAGCACCACACCACACCTATTCCAAAATTGACCACATAGTTGGAAGTAAAGCTCTCCTCAGCAAATGTAAAAGAACAGAAATTATAACAAACTATCTCTCAGACCACAGTGCAATCAAACTAGAACTCAGGATTAAGAATCTCACTCAAAGCCGCTCAACTACATGGAAACTGAACAACCTGCTCCTGAATGACTACTGGGTACATAACGAAATGAAGGCAGAAATAAAGATGTTCTTTGAAACCAACGAGAACAAAGACACCACATACCAGAATCTCTGGGACGCATTCAAAGCAGTGTGTAGAGGGAAATTTATAGCACTAAATGCCTATAAGAGAAAGCAGGAAAGATCCAAAATTGACACCCTAACATCACAATTAAAAGAACTAGAAAAGCAAGAGCAAACACATTCAAAAGCTAGCAGAAGGCAAGAAATAACTAAAATCAGAGCAGAACTGAAGGAAATAGAGACACAAAAAACCCTTCAAAAAATCAATGAATCCAGGAGCTGGTTTTTTGAAAGGATCAACAAAATTGATAGACCGCTAGCAAGATTAATAAAGAAAAAAAGAGAGAAGAATCAAATAGACACAATAAAAAATGATAAAGGGGATATCACCACCGATCCCACAGAAATACAAACTACCATCAGAGAATACTACAAACACCTCTACGCAAATAAACTAGAAAATCTAGAAGAAATGGATACATTCCTCGACACATACACTCTCCTAAGACTAAACCAGGAAGAAGTTGAATCTCTGAATAGACCAATAACAGGCTCTGAAATTGTGGCAATAATCAATAGTTTACCAACCAAAAAGAGTCCAGGACCAGATGGATTCACAGCCGAATTCTACCAGAGGTACAAGGAGGAACTGGTACCATTCCTTCTGAAACTATTCCAATCAATAGAAAAAGAGGGAATCCTCCCTAACTCATTTTATGAGGCCAGCATCATTCTGATACCAAAGCCGGGCAGAGACACAACCAAAAAAGAGAATTTTAGACCAATATCCTTGATGAACATTGATGCAAAAATCCTCAATAAAATACTGGCAAACCGAATCCAGCAGCACATCAAAAAGCTTATCCACCATGATCAAGTGGGCTTCATCCCTGGGATGCAAGGCTGGTTCAATATACGCAAATCAATAAATGTAATCCAGCATATAAACAGAGCCAAAGACAAAAACCACATGATTATCTCAATAGATGCAGAAAAAGCCTTTGACAAAATTCAACAACCCTTCATGCTAAAAACTCTCAATAAATTAGGTATTGATGGGACGTATTTCAAAATAATAAGAGCTATCTATGACAAACCCACAGCCAATATCATACTGAATGGGCAAAAACTGGAAGCATTCCCTTTGAAAACTGGCACAAGACAGGGATGCCCTCTCTCACCGCTCCTATTCAACATAGTGTTGGAAGTTCTGGCCAGGGCAATCAGGCAGGAGAAGGAAATAAAGGGTATTCAATTAGGAAAAGAGGAAGTCAAATTGTCCCTGTTTGCAGACGACATGATTGTTTATCTAGAAAACCCCATTGTCTCAGCCCAAAATCTCTTTAAGCTGATAAGCAACTTCAGCAAAGTCTCAGGATACAAAATCAATGTACAAAAATCACAAGCATTCTTATACACCAACAACAGACAAACAGAGAGCCAAATCATGAGTGAACTCCCATTCACAATTGCTTCAAAGAGAATAAAATACCTAGGAATCCAACTTACAAGGGATGTGAAGGAACTCTTCAAGGAGAACTACAAACCACTGCTCAAGGAAATAAAAGAGGACACAAACAAATGGAAGAACATTCCATGCTCATGGGTAGGAAGAATCAATATCGTGAAAATGGCCATACTGCCCAAGGTAATTTACAGATTCAATGCCATCCCCATCAAGCTACCAATGACTTTCTTCACAGAATTGGAAAAAACTACTTTAAAGTTCATATGGAACCAAAAAAGAGCCCGCATCGCCAAGTCAATCCTAAGCCAAAAGAACAAAGCCGGAGGCATCACACTACCTGACTTCAAACTATACTACAAGGCTACAGTAACCAAAACAGCATGGGACTGGTACCAAAACAGAGATATAGATCAATGGAACAGAACAGAGTCCTCAGAAATAATGCCGCATATCTACAACTATCTGATCTTTGACAAACCTGAGAAAAACAAGCAATGGGGAAAGGATTCCCTATTTAATAAATGGTGCTGGGAAAACTGGCTAACCATATGTAGAAAGCTGAAACTGGATCCCTTCCTTACACCTTATACAAAAATCAATTCAAGATGGATTAAAGATTTAAACGTTAGACCTAAAACCATAAAAACCCTAGAAGAAAACCTAGGCATTACCATTCAGGACATAGGCGTGGGCAAGGACTTCATGTCCAAAACACCAAAAGCAATGGCAACAAAAGCCAAAATTGACAAATGGGATCTAATTAAACTCAAGAGCTTCTGCACAGCAAAAGAAACTACCATCAGAGTGAACAGGCAACCTACAACATGGGAGAAAATTTTCGCAACCTACTCATCTGACAAAGGGCTAATATCCAGAATCTATAATGAACTCAAACAAATTTACAAGAAAAAAACAACCCCATCAAAAAGTGGGCGAAGGACATGAACAGACACTTCTCAAAAGAAGACATTTATGCAGCTAAAAAACACATGAAGAAATGCTCATCATCACTGGCCATCAGAGAAATGCAAATCAAAACCACTATGAGATATCATCTCACACCAGTTAGAATGGCAATCATTAAAAAGTCAGGAAACAACAGGTGCTGGAGAGGATGTGGAGAAATAGGAACACTTTTACACTGTTGGTGGGACTGTAAACTAGTTCAACCATTGTGGAAGTCAGTGTGGCGATTCCTCAGGGATCTAGAACTAGAAATACCATTTGACCCAGCCATCCCATTACTGGGTATATACCCAAAGGACTATAAATCATGCTGCTATAAAGACACATGCACACGTATGTTTATTGCGGCACTATTCACAATAGCAAAGACTTGGAACCAACCCAAATGTCCAACAATGATAGACTGGATTAAGAAAATGTGGCACATATACACCATGGAATACTATGCAGCCATAAAAAATGATGAGTTCATGTCCTTTGTAGGGACATGGATGAAATTGGAAACCATCATTCTCAGTAAACTATCGCAAGAACAAAAAACCAAACACCGCATATTCTCACTCATAGGTGGGAATTGAACAATGAGATCACATGGACACAGGAAGGGGAATATCACACTCTGGGGACTGTGGTGGGGTCGGGGGAGGGGGGAGGGATAGCATTGGGAGATATACCTAATGCTAGATGACACGTTAGTGGGTGCAGTGCACCAGCATGGCACATGTATACATATGTAACTAACCTGCACAATGTGCACATGTACCCTAAAACTTAGAGTATAATAAAAAAAAAAATTAAAAAAAAAAAAGAAAATCTATAACCTTATAATAATATCACATTTTGTCTGATATTTGGATCAGATTAAGAAAGACTTGCTTTGTCCTGCATACCATGCTGTTGAGGATCCCATCTTAATGAGGAATTTGGCTCTTTTTATAGGAAACAGAAAATACCTCATTCTAAGGCATATACACAGCAAGGACCTGAGGAGCTTGTGTACTTCATAGAATCATGAACTCAAAGGATAAAAAGGCAAATTAAAAATTATCCTATCCAGGAAATCCCAAGTAGCAGTATGCATACTATCTACATATAAGCACTTAGTCAATTGATTATAAAGTCAGACTGCCTCAGAGTCTCTGAGGGTAGAGCTTGGCAAACAGATTTAAGGAGAATAGGTAACTTGCTCAAGATGACATTGTAAATAGAGAGTGGAGTCAGAATTCACATTCAGATCCAGCTGAGTAAAAAGCTTATTCTATTAACCTAATTAATTGGTCTGTAAAAAGGATTTCCATAAGCTAACTCAAATGGGGCAAACCTGGGTTAAAAGGAAAAAAGCACCTGACCTAGCTTCAAACATCACTTCACCTCTGGAGGAAGTTGGAAAATATTCTAGCAGAAATACAAAATTGGTTTATTGGATTGCTTTTTGAGAAAAGAAAACTTGAGTAGCCTACAAATATAAGGGGCAGATTAACCAAATAGCAGCTGCAGCCATGTAGCCAAAAAACAAAGGGCATTTTCTCTGGCTATATAATTTGCAGAGCCCAGTGCAAAATGAAAATGGGATTCTCCTTGTTCAAAATGCAGGGAAAAAGTACCATTAAAATAATTAAAACATAAAATTTTTTTCCTTCTTTTGCCATCTCTCTCTCTAGATGTGTAATAGTGTTTATTATTTGCTTTTTATTGTGGCTATATATAAATACAAATTAAAATTTTAAATATTAGTGTGAAGTTTACAATTAATCTTTGTATTGTGCAATGACAGATTTAAATGCAAATATCAGCATTTAAATATAAGCATTTAAATTCAGATATAACTCATATGTGAAATCACCTATATTACACAATTCTTATTTTATAGCTTGTACATGCACATATGTTTTGTTTTTACAAAAGCGGTGGAAATGCTGCACAAAACCAACTCAACTGTTGTTATTACACCGCCTGACACAGCATACATTCTAGCAACATTCTCTACTTTTGGCTCCCTATTGAGGAAGAAAGGACTGAAAACTAATATATATATCATATACTATATGATATATATAATCTGTATATTATATAATATATAATGTATATTATATAATATAGAATATAGAATATTTTTATATTTTATATTATATATATGTATATAATTATATATGTATATATGTGTATACATGTATATGTGTATATGTGTATACATATATATGTGTATACATGTATATGTATATACGTGTATACATATATATGTGCATACATGTATATGTATATATGTGTATACATATATATGTGCATACATGTATATGTATATACGTGTATACATATATAATATATGTACATATATGTATATGTGCACACATATATAATATATGTACATATATTATATATGTATACACATATATAATATATGTACATATATTATATATGTATACACATATATAATATATGTACATATATGTATATGTATGTACATATATGTACATATATTATATATAATATATAACGTATATACGTATATACATATATACATATATATGTACATATATTATATATAATATATAACATATATACGTATATACATATATACACACATATATACACATATATATATATGGCTTGCTGTGTCTTTCCCTTTCATTCTATGTCATCATTTCTAGGAAAAGTGGTTGGCTAATAAAAGAAAGTAACATGAATAAGAAAGAATATGATAGTTTTTTTTTTGGTTATTCTTGTTTATTAGAACACCATTGCCTTCTTTCTGCATTTGAAGCAAGTTCTGGTGCAAAAGAAAATATTGCCCGTAAGGCCTGTCAGAGACTAGGCTTACTCAGTTATAATAATGTTAATGCACATACCTTGTATTTGTTTTGAGTCTTACTGACCTACTACATATCATGTGTCCATCATCCTCACAAGTTCTGTATGCAAATTGGGTAGCAAGAAATGATAGACACTCATATTGTGCACATTTCCTCCTCTCACACACATGCACCATTGTGCTATTGGTCTTCACTTAGAAAACTTTGAATATAATTCACAGATAAAGTTATTAAGAATTCCAAAATACTGACAGCAGTGCACATTTCCTCTGCTCACACATATGCACCATTGTGCTATTGGTCTTCACTTACAAAACTTTGAATATAATTCACAGGTAAAGTTATTAAGAATTCCAAAATACTGACAGCAGTGCTTTAAACCAACCCTAGGGTCCATCTGTGTATGGCTGTCTTATGCATCTACACAGGATGGATACTCATGACATCAATCTGTGTGTGTGTATATAGCCATGAATAGGAGTCTTTCCTCAGAAGAGGATCAGAGTTTGAGGTCTTTGGGGCTCTCATTGAGGATCATAACTTCTATGTTGGACAAAGGAGACAAAGGTAAACAAAGTACACGGTCAAATTATATTAAACTCCAAATTCAGGGAAGAAAGGGTCTAGTCAATTCTACATTTATATCTACCTTTTGTAAGTATGCTCTGTGCTGAAAGTCATGAGGAAACATAGGAACAAAACATTCTGCCTTCAAGGTATTGAGAGTTTAATGTGGCTGTTAGACTTCTTTAACACATCTTGGATATATTATAAAGCAGAATATATTGAGTGTTATTCTAGAAAAACGAACGATTAAAGAAATTTCAAGAATAAAATAATTATTTATTATTTTGAAGACTGAAAAAGCTTCATAGAGGAGGTCGCAATATTTGAGGTAGGATTAAAGGATGTTGCTATGGCTTGAATGTCCCTTACAAAACTCATATTGAAGTTTGTTATTCTGATGGTATTAAGAGGTGGGACTGTTAAGAAGTGATTAGATCATGAGGGCTCTGCCCTCACAAATGTATTAATGTTGATATCATGTTCTCTTACTTTCTTTCTCTCTCTCTCACACACACACACACACACACACACACCTCCTATGGGATAATGCAGCAAGAAAGTCCTCAGAAGATGCTGGCACCTTGACCTTGGTTTCCCCAGCATCCAGAACTCTAAGCCAATAAATTTCTACTTTTTATAAATTACCCAGTCTGTGGTATTTTATCTTAACAGCACAAAATGAACTGATAGATATATAGCATTGCAATAAATTGAGTCAGAGGAGGACATTTGACACAAAAAAAATATACCTAGGAATACATTTAATCAAGGAGGTGAAAGATATCTGGAAGTACAATTAATTACAAAATTCTTCTGAAGGAAATCAGAGATGACATAAACAAACAGAAAAACATTCCATAATCACAGATTGGAAGACTGATATCATTAAAATGGCCATACTGCCCAGAGCACTCTAAAGATTTAATACTATTCATACCAAACCTCCAATGCCATTGTTCACAGAATTAGAAAAAAAAATTGCAAAATTCACATGAAAGCAAAAAAGAGCCCAAATAGCCAAAGTAATTCTATGCAAAGAGAACAAAGCTAGTGGCATCACCTTATCTGACTTCAAACTACACTATAAGGCTACTGCAATGAGTACAGCATGGTACTGGTACAAAAACAGACACATAGATCAATGGAACAGAATAGAGAACCCAGAAATAAAACTGAACATCTACAACCATCGAATCTTCCACAACGTTGAAAAAAATAAACAATGGAGAAAGGACTCCCTATTCAATAAATGGTCCTGTGATAACTGGCTAGACATATGCAGAAGAATTAAATTAGAACCCCATCTTTCACAAAAATATACAAAATTATACAAAATATACAAATATTATACTATTTACTTATACTACTACTATACACTATTATAGTTTTATTATAATATACACTACTACTAATACACTATATAATACTACTATGTACTACTGTAGTGTAATTACACTAATACTACTAAATATTATTTGTAAATTATTTGTAAATATACAAATAATTTACAAAATATAAATACACAAATAATATACAAGAATAACTCAGGATTAATTAAAAACTTCAATGTAAGACCTCAAACTATAAAAATCCTAAAAGAAAACCTAGGAAATATAATTCTAGACATCAGCCTTGACAAATAATTTATGACTAAGTTCCCAAAAGTAATGGTGACAAAATCAAAAACTGAAAAATGGGACTTGATTAAACTAAAGATCTTCCACAGAATGAAATAAACTATAAACTATCAACATAGTAAGAAGATAACCTAATAATGGGAGAAAATATAATATTCACAAACCATCAAGAACTTAACTCAGCAGCCAAAAAAATTTTTTTTAAAATTGGCAAAGGGCATGAACAGGCACTTCTCTTTTTTTTTTTTTTTTTTTTTTTTGAGACAGAGTTTCACTCTGTTGCCTAGGCTGGAGTGCAATGGCACGATCTTGGCTCACTGCAACCTCAGTCTACCAGGTTCAAGTGATTCTCCTGCCTCAGCCTACCAAGTAGCTGGGATTACAGGCATGTGCCACCACGCCTGGCTAATTTTGTATTTTTATTAGAGACGGGGTTTCTCCATGTTGGTCAGGCTGGTCTCGAATTCCGGACCTCAGGTGATCCACCCACCTCAGTCTCCCAAGGTGCTGGGATTACAGACGTGAGGCACCGCGCCCAGCATGAACAGGTACTTCTCAAAAGAAGACATATACATGGTGGCCAACAGACATGAAAAAATTCTCAACATCACTAATCATCAAAAAATGCAAATCAAAACCACAATGTGATACCATCTCACACCAGTCACAATGGCTATTATTAAGAAGACAATAAATAACAGATGCTGAAGAGGCTCTGGGAAAAAGAGAACACTTACACATTGTTGATGGTAATGTAAATTAGTTTAGTCATTGTGGAAAGCAGTTTGGAGATTTCTCAAAGAACTAAGAACAGAATTACCATCTGACTCAGCAATTGCATTATTGGGTATACACCCAAAGGAAAACAAATCCTTCAAACAAAAAGACATGTGCACTTATATGTTAATTGCAGCACTATTCACAATAGCAAAGGCATGGAATCAACCATGGATGGACTGGATAAAGAAAATGTGGTACATATACACCCCGGAATACTACACAGCCATAAAAAGTAACAAAATCATGTATTTTGCAGCCACATGGTGCAGATAAAGGCCATTATACCAAGCAAATTAATGCAGAAACAAAAACCAAATACCACATGTTCCCACTTTCAAGTTGGAGCTAAACACTGAGTAACCAGGAACGTAAAGATGGGAACAATAGACTCTGAAGACTACTAGAGTGGGAAGAAAGCAGGGAGGGCTGAAAAATTACCTATTGGGTACTGTGCCCACTACCTGGGTGACGATATCATTCGTATTTTAAATCTCAGCAACATGCAAAATTCCCATTTAACAAATCTGCACATGTACACCTAATTCTGAAATAAAAGTTGAAATTACTTTTAAAAAGTCCAATCACAAAAGATCAAAATAGAGGAGGGCATTTGAGGCTGAGAGAGGAGCATAAATAAAGGAACAGCATATCTTAGAGGCTGGGACATCAACACATGTGATTAGAAGTATATGGAGTAAGGGAGTAATTTGCGGACTGTATTAGATTGGCTGCCATAACAAAATACCATAGACTGGATGGTTTAAATATTTATTTTTCTCACAGTTGTGGAGACTGAAAAGTTTAATATCAAGGTACCAGCTGATCCAGTATTTAGTTCCTCGTAAGTATTTTCCTCTTGGCACATAGACAGTTGCCTTCTTGCTGTGACTTCACAAGACAGAGAGAGAGAGAGGAGAGAGGAGAGAGAGAGAAACACAAATTCTCTGGTATCTTTTCATATAAGAGCACTAATCCCATCATGAAGGCACCATTCTCATAACCTTATCTAACTCTAATTGCCTCCCAAACACCTCCTTTCCAAATATCATCACATTAGGGAATCAGGCTTCAATTAATGAATTTGCTGGCATGGGGCACACAAACATTCAGTCAATAACAAAGAAATGCCACCAGAGATATAAAGAGGGTCCAGATTCGTGAGAGCTTTGAATACTACACAAAGCATTTGGGTAGCTGCTGCTGATTTTTGAGCAACAGAGCAACAAGTTCAGACTGATGATTTGTGAAGATAATTTTGATTTCGGTGGGAAAGATGGGTTGTAAGGAGAGGAACCAGAACTATTGTGATAGTCTAGGAAAGAGGAAATGAAGATCTGAGCTAAAGGCAATGGCAGTAGGAATGAAACAAGAAACAGATATAAGAAATCTGAAGGGACTAGCTGACTAATTTAATGTAAGAACTGAGAAAGTGGTGCAAGATGTCTTTGAGATTAATTGAATTTGCAGGTAACAAGATTAACAAAAGACCCATTTATCTTAATAGTTGTTGAAAATCTTTCCAGAATGTATGAATCTCTTTTTCAGCCTTAGTGGCAGAGTCTAATGAAAATAATCCAATCATTTTTGTGGTTGAAAACTCACAGGTTTTGGGGGGCATTTTTCAGAAAAATTAGTTCATATCATAGAAGTCTATAAATGTAAATATGAGCAGACAAAGTTTGAATATACTTTTAATATACTGAGTCCCAGACATCTTGGAGGTTTGTGTTTCATTTTCTGTACTTATTGCTTTAGCTTGTTTTGCTCCAAAATTTGAAGTAGCAAAAATTTCAATTTAATCAGTGATTTGAAGTCACTAATTTTCTGCTCCTTTTGCTATAGACTCAATTTAATTAACTTTAAGTTTGTAACAGATCATAGGACATTAAAGCTATTTAAGTATAAATATATTTTGATAAAAATTTTCATTTCTCTTAAAAAGAGGAATTTCATTAAAATATTTTCTGTATCTTATGAGTGATTTTATATCCATCCTAACTCTAAATATATTGACAACATAAATTTATCTGATTTGATATTTAAAGTGAAATGAAGTTTTCATTTAGCAGAATTTTAATACATAGAAAATTTAGTTAACATGTTTCAATTATGAAATTAACCCTGCAGATAGGATTCTTTTTCTGTTTTAAAACTAAACAACCAAATACCACGTATTCTCACTTGTAAGTGGGAGCTAAGCATGGAGCACACATGGACATAAATATGGTAACAACAGACACTGTAAACTACTAGGCGGCTGTGGGGACGAGCTGGGTTAAAAAACTACCTATTAGGTACTATGCTTAGTATCTGTGTGACAGGATCTCTACTCCAAATCTCAAAATCACGCAGTATTCCTATGTAACAAATCTACACATGTTCCCCCTTTATCTAAAATAAAAGTTGAAAGAAAAAATGATTAGCTGGGAAAAGAAAATACTAAACAATAGCATCTGGGTACAATGCAATTTTTAAAAGGTTCTTGCAGTCAAACATATGTAACATAAAATTGGCCATTTTAATCATATTTAAGTATACAATTCAGTGGCATTAATCACATTCACAATCTTGTGCAATAATCACCGTTATCTATTTCTGAAACTTTCATCACTCCAAACAGAAATACTGTACCATTAAGCAATGACTTTTCATTCATGTCTGCCCCTATTTTCTAGTAACCTCTAATCTTTCTAGCCTATGAATTTGCATATTCTAGATATTTTATGTAAATGAAATTACACAATATTTGTTTTTTAGTGTCTGGCTTATTTCACTTAGTGTAAAACTTTCAAGGTTCATTCATGTCATAACATGATTCAAAACTTTATTACTTTTTATAGCTGAATATTACTCAATTGAATGTACATACCATATTTGTTTATGTATTCATCTGTTGATGGAGACTTGGACTGCTCCTGCCTTTTCACTATTAGGAATGAGGCTACAATGAACATTGGCATACAATTACTTGTTTGAGTCCCTGTTTTCACTTCCTTTGGATATATACTTAGGAGTGGAATTGCTGGTTCATATGACAATTCTATGTTTAAATTTTGGAGGAACTATCAAACTGTTTCCATAGCAGCTGCAACATTTTACATTTCCATCAACAATGTACAAGGGTTCCAACTTTAGTGCACCCCCAACAACACTTGTTGTTTTCCTTTTTTTATTACAACCATCCTAATTGGTGTAAAGTGGTTTTGATTTGCATTTCTCTAATGACTAATGATGTTGAACATCTCTTTTATGCTATTGCCCACTTGTATATCTTTGGAGAAATATCTATTCAAGTCTTTTGCCCATTTTTTAATTGGGTTGTTTGGTTTTTGCTGTTGTTGAATTGTAGGAATTCTTTATCTATTGTCTATAATCTCTTAGGTATGTAATTTGCAAATATTCAAATATTTTCTTCCGCTATGTAAGTTGTCTTTTTACTTTTTCTCTTTTTCTTTTTTTTTTTTTTTTTTGAGATGGAGTCTCACTCTGTCACCCAGGCTGGAGTGCAATGGCACAATCTCAGCTCACTGCAAACTCCGCCTACCGGGTTCAAGCGATTCTCCTGCCTCAGCCTCCCAAGTAGTTGCGACTACAGGGACATGCCACCACGCCAGCTAATTTTTTTGTATTTTTAGTAGAGACAGGGTTTCACCGTGTTAGCCAGGATGGTTTCAATCTCCTGACCTCGTGATCCGCCCGTCTCGGCCTCCAAAAGTGCTTGGATTATAGGCGTGAGCCACCGCGCCTGGCCATCTTTTTAATTTCTTAATAATGTCCTTTGATACATGAAAATTTTTAATTTTGACGAAGTCTATTATATATACATTTTTTTTCTTTTGTTGCTCATGTTTTTAGTGCCATATCTAAGAACCCATTACCATATTCAAGGCCATGACAGTTTATCCCTGTGCTTTCTTGTAAGAGATTTTAGGTTTTTGCTCTTATATTTGGGTAATTTATCCATTGTGAGATTATTTTTGTGTACAGCTTAACATACGGGTACAACTTCACTCTTTTCCATGTGGAAATTTAGTTATTCCACTACAATTAATTGAAGAAACTATTCTTCCTCAATTGAATAAACTTGACACCCTTGTCAAAAATCAATTTGTTACAATAGGCACAAAAAGACAAATATCACTTTTTTTTCACTCGTGTGAGAACTAAAAAAAAAAAAAAAATTGATCCCATGGAGATGGTGAAAAAAATAGTGCTTACCAGAGGCTGGGAAATGTAGTGGAGAGTAGGGGATAAAGATGGGTTGGTTAGTGGGTACAAAAATACAGTTAGGTAGAAGGAATATGTTCTAGTCTTCTAGAGCACTGCAGGGTGACTATAGTTAACAAAAAATTATTGTACATTTCACAATAGCTAAAAGAGAAGACTTAGATTGTTTCCAACACAATCAAATTATAAATGTTTGAGGTGATGGATATCCAAATTACCCAGATTTTATCATTATGCATTCTTTGATTGTATCAAAGTATCACATATACCCCATAAATATGTACAACTATTATGTACCTATAAAATAAAAAATAAAAAATTAATTGGCCATAAATATACAGATTGGTTTCTGGACTCTCAACTATATTCCATTCGTCTATATGACTATCCATATTGTTTTTATTCCTATAGCTGTGTACTCGGTTTTGAAATTAGGAAGTGTGAGTCCTCCAACTTTGTTATCCTTTGTCATGATTGTTTTGGCTATTCAGGGCTTTTTGAAATTTCATATACATTTGAGAATCAGCTTTTTGATTTCTGAAAAGAAAGGCTGTTGAAATTTTAATAGGATTATATTTAATCTGTAGATTGCTTTAAGTAGTATTGGTATTTTAGCAATGTTAAATTTCTCAATCCATGAACATTGATGTCTTTCTATTTATTTAGGTATTCTTTCAGAAATATTTTATAGGTTTCCATTGACAAGATTTTCACCTTTTTGGTTAAATTTATTCCTAGATATTTTATTATTTGTATGTTATTTCAATGAAATTGTCTTTTTAGTTATTTATTGATTGCTCATTGCCTATCTGCAACTTTGCTTAATTAATTTATTAGGTCCAGTAGAATTTTTTTTGTGGATTCTTTGGTATTTCCTATTCATAGGATCATGTCATCTGTGAATATAGTTTTCCTTCTCTTATAATTTGGATTTTTAAAATTTCTTTCTCTTGTATATTTCCCTGGTTATGACTTTTAGTGTGATGTTGGATAGCAGTGATAATTTGAACATTCTAGTCTTGTACCTGATCTTAGGGTAAAAGCTTTCAGTTTTTCAGCATTAAATGTGATATTTCCTGTGAGTTTTTCCTATGTACCCTTTATCATGTTGTGGACATTTCCTTCTACCCCTAGTTTTCTGAGTTTCCTTATCATGAAGTTGTGTTGGATTTTGTAAAATGCCTTTTCTGCATCAATTGAGAGGCTCACGTGGATTTTTTAAATGCTCTTTACGTGTTGCATTCTGTTGACTGAATTTTTTATGTTGAACCATTTTTGTATTATTGGGACAAATCTCGCTTGGTTATGGTATACAACCCCCTTTTTTTTAACCTACATTTGCTGGTTGCTTTATTTAATTTTTCACTTTAAACACAAGACGAAAACCAAAACCTCTGAACTTGTACTCTTCAAATTGAAAGAGAATAGCTACAATTCTAAAATAGCATCAATACAGTAAATATAATTCTTAATAGTATTAATGGACTATACTGAAATATGTATAAATATCTCATATTGTACTCAACTTGAATAGTTGCCACTGAAATCAATTACAAATGTTTATTTTGAAAGGTGCTACTATAAAGTTTATAGACTCAAATGCTTACAATGGTTATTCAAATTTATAGAATACATAGACAACAGGTTGAACTTCAACCTGTGTACTATTTTATAATATTTATGAGCAACAATTTTTAAAGACATAGAAGGCCATCTTTAAATATAAATTAGAAGCATTAAAATAATGTCTTTAGTGACTTCAATTGTCACTTGGCCATAAACCAAACACCCCCAAAATTAAATTTCTTTCTTTTTTTTTTTGAGACGGAGTCTTGCTCTGTCGCCCAGGCTGGAGTGCAGTGGCATGATCTCGGCTCACTGCAATCTCCGCCTCCCGGGTTCACTCCATTCTCCTGCCTCAGCCTCCCGAGTAGCTGGGACTACAGGCGCCCGCCACCAAGCCCGGCTAATTTTTTGTATTTTTAGCAGAGACAGGGTTTCACCGTGTTAGCCAGGATGGTCTCGATCTCCTGACCTTGTGATCCTCCCTCCTCGGCCTCCCAAAGTGCTGGGACTACAGGCGTGAGCCACCGCGCCCGGCCGCAAAATTTCAAATGATCACTGAGGTTACTTGTGCAAAAATTCCCATGTGTCAGTACTTTCAAAGTTGTGTGCATCAAATTATAGTAAAAAGGTGACTATAAACAAGATGCAGCCCCTCTATTTTCATGAACAGCATATTGTGTTACAGTAAACTGAGTTTATATTCCACCAAGTGTCATTCTCCCATTACTTCACTTTGTGACAGATAAGAATAGCTTCAAATCTGGTAGTCTCTTCATTACCCCTCAAAATATCCAGTGAAAGGTTTGAGCTCAAAAGAAATGGAAGACATCGAACCTGCTGCACTGCCTTAAATTTCGATTTATAATTTTAGTGGAGCAAATAACCACTAAATGTTTCTCACTGTGGGAATATTCATTTTATCTCGGTTGAGTTGGAAATTCTCTTCTGAAAATTCAAGAGGATGACTAGCTAAAAGTTCATTTTTTACACACACAAAAAACACTTTCTGAAGATTATGACTTTCAAGAGATTCACTTGCTGAAAGTTCAGTAGCTGGAATACTGCCCTTTAGCTGAGATCCAGGTCGTCTGGCATCCATCTTCAGCCACTCTCTACAATCCTTTTAATATGCTGTTGGATTTGTTTTCCTAGTATTTTTCAGGGATTTTTGTATGTATGTTCCGACAGAATATAGCTCTGTGAATTTCTTCTCTTGCAATGTCTTTTCTGACTAGTATCAGAGTAATGCAGACCTTACAAAATAATTTAGAAAGTGTTTTCTTCTCTTAAATTTTTTGAAAAGTCTCAGAAAAATTGATGTTAATTTTTCATTAAATGTTTAATGAAACTCACCAATGAAGTAATCTGGTTCTGGACTTTTCTTCATTAGGACATTTTTTTATTACTGATTCAATCTCATTCTGTGTTATAACTTTGTTCAGATTTTTTATTTCTTTTTGAGTCAATTTTGGTAATGACTATGTTCCTAGGAATTTGTTTATTTCATCTACATTATCTGATTTGCTGGTGTGCAACTGTTCATAACATTTTCTTACAATTATTTTTATTTCTGTAAAGTTTTTTTGAAATATGATTTTTACATAAACTTATGTTAAAATATGTTTATTAGTATTGATGTACAATATTTTTTCTCCCTTTATAACTTTTCTGGATTTCTCAGTTTGTAATTCCTCCTGAAACTGCCTTTTACTTCTGTGTGTGTGTGTGTGTGTGTGTGTGTGTGTGTGTGTGTGTGCGTGTGTGTTGCATTACCATTTCTACTGTGGCGAGACTCAAGACAATATTCTTACTTAATTGAGAGTGCAGGAAGACATGGATTAGACCAGAAAAGCAGGACTTATTCCACTGACTCAAAATTTTTCTGATATCACCAGAGACGAGGTATTTCTCAGAAATATATTCTGTACCTAAACAGGAACTAATATAAGCATCAATTTTATACTATTGTACCTATCTTTTGGGGATTGTTGGCACTGGACATGAGATGCTCTTAGGTTGCATACACAGATGCAGAATTAACCATTGAATCTCTTAAACATAAAAGTGTGCCCTTTTCAATTTCATTTAAGCTTTCCATCAGGTTCGAGAGTTTGGAGTAAATACGTCTTTAACACGCCTCTCTAATGGCTAAGTTTTCTTTTCTTTTCTTTTTTCTTTCTTTTCTTTGTTTTTTAAGCTGCAGACAAACTTTCATTTATTTATTTATTTATTCATTCTTTTGTTTGTTCCACAGAGTTTTGCTGAGCACCCACTCCAAGCCAGGCATGTGCTAGGTGCCTGGGATAAAATACTGACTCACAAAGAGGAGGACCCTGTCTTAGGATGTTCTTATTATCAAAACTCAGGCAAGACTTCAGAATAAATATTAAAGTTACACTTGATTTCAAAGAGCTAAAACAGGTGATGTAGTCTATTTCAACAGCTTTTTTAAAAAATGAGACATGTAGCTAATCAGTAATGGAGTCTATATTCAAGCCAGATTCCACAATCAGTATTCTTTTATTTATTTGTTTATTTTATTTTTTTAAATTTTACTTTTAGTTCTGGGATACAAGTGCAGAATGTGTAGGTTTGTTACATAGGTATACATGTGCCAGGGTGGTTTACTTCACCTGTCAACTTGTCCTGTAGGTTTCAAGCCCCACATGCATTAGCTATTTGTCCTAATGCTGTCCCTCCCATTACCCTCCACACCCTGACTGGCTCCAGTGTGTGTTGTTCTGCTCCCTGTGTCCATGTGTTCTCATTGTTTACCTCCCACTTATGAGTGAGAATATGCAGTGTTTGGTTTTCTGTTCCTGTGTTACTTTTCTGAGGGTAATGGCTTCCAGCTTCATCCATGTCCCTGCAAAGAACATGATCTCATTACTTTTATGGCTGAATAGTATTCCATAGTGTATATGTACCACATTTTATTTATTCAGTCTTATCATTGATAGGCTTGGTTCCATGTCTCTGCTATTGTAAATAGGGCTGCAATAAACATACATGTGCATGTGTCTTAATAGTAGAATGATTTATACTCCTTTAGGTATATACCCAGTAATGGGATTGCTGGATCAAAAAGTATTTCTGGTTCTAGATCCTTGAGGAATCACTACACTGTCTTCCACGATGGTTGAACTAATTTACATACCCACAAACAGTGTAAAAGCATTCCTATTTATCCACAACCTCACCAGCATCTATTGTTTCTTGACATTTTAATAATCAACATTCTGACTGGCATGAGATGGTATCACGTTGTGGTTTTGATTTGCATTTCTCTAATGATCAGTGATGTTGAGCTTTCTTTCTTAGGTTTGTTTTGGCCACATAAATGTCTTCTTTTGAGAAGTGTCTGTTTATATCCTTTCCTCACTTTTTGATTGGGCTGTTTTTTTTTCTTGTAAATTTGTTTAAGTTTCTTGTAGATTCTGGATATTAGTCCTTGTCAGATGGGAAGATTGCAAAAATTTTCTCCCAATCTATAGGTTTTCTGTTCACTCTGATGATAATTTCTTTTGTTGTGTAGAAGCTCTTTAGTTTAATTAGATTTCATTTGTCAATTTTGTCTTTTGTTGCAATTGTTTTTGGCATTTTTGTCAGGAAATCTTTGCCCAGGCCTATGTCTTGAATGGTATTGCCTAGGTTTTCTTCTAGGGTTTTTATGGATTTGGGTTTTACATTTAACTCTTTAATCCATCTTGAGTTATTTTTTGTATAAGTTCTAAGGAAGGGGTCAGTTTCAGTGTTCTGCGTATGGCTAGTCAGTTTTCCCAGTACCATTTATTAAGTAGGAAATCTTTTCCCCATTGCTGGTTTTTGTCAGGTTTGTCGAAGATCAGATGGTTGTAGATGTGTGCTGTTCTTTCTTAGGTCTTTATTCTGTTTCATTCATCTATCTGTCTGTTTTGGTACCAGTACCATGCTGTTTTGGTTACTGTAGCCTTGTAGTATAGTTTGAAGTCAGGAAGCACGATGCCTTCAGCTTTGTTATTTTTGCTTAGGATTGTCTTGGGTATGTGGGCTCTTTTTTGATTCCATATAAAATTTAAAGTAGTTTTCTCTAATTTTGTGAAGAATGTCAGTGATAGTTTGATGGGAATGGCATTGAATCTGTAAATTACTTTGGGAGGTATGGCCATTTTTACCATATTGATTCTTCCTATCCATGAGCATGGAATGTTTTTCCATTTGTTTGTATCCTCTCTTACTTCCTTGAGCAGTGGTTTGTAGTTCTCCTTAAAGAGGTCTTTCACATCCTTTGTTAGCTGTATTTCTAGGTATTTTACTATCTTTGTAGCTATTGTGAATGGGAGTTCATTCATGATTTGGCTCTCTGGTTGTCTATTGTTGGTATACAGGAATGCTTGTGATTTTCGCACATTGATTTTGTATCTTGAGACTTTGCAGAAGTTGCTTATCAGCTTAAGGAGTTTTAGAATGATGCCATCTACAAACAGAGACAATTTGACTTCCTCTCTTCATATTCGAATATTCTTTATTTCTTTATCTTGCCTGATTGCTCTGGCCAGAACTTCCAATACTATGTTGAATAGGAGTGGTGAGAGAGGATTTCTTTGTCCTATGCTAGTTTTAAAAGGGAATGCTTCCAGCTTTTGCCCATTCAGTGTGATATTGGCTGTGGGTTTGCCATAAATAGCTCTTATTTTGAGATATGTTCCATCAGTATTTAGTTTATTTAGAGTTTTTAACATAAAGGGGTGTTGAATTATATTGAAGGCCTTTTCTGCATCTATTGAGATAATCCTGCAGTTTTTGTCATTGGTTCTGTTCGTATGACAGATTATGTTTATTGATTTGTTCATGTTGAGCCAGCCTTGCATGCCAGGGATGAAGCTGACTTGATCATGGTGGACAAAGTTTTGATGTGCTGATGGATTCGATTTACCAGTATTTTATTGAGGATTTTCTCATTGATGTTCCTCAGGGATATTGGCATGAAGTTTTATTTTCTTGTTGTATCCCTGTCAAGTTTTGGTATCAGGATGATGCTTGCCTCATAAAATGAGGTAGGGAAGAGTCCCTCCTTTTCAATTGTTTGGAATAGTTTCAGAAGAAATGAAACTAGATCCTTTCTGTACCTCTGGTAGAATTCAGCTGTGAATCTGTCTGGTCCTGGGCTTTTTTTGGTTGGTGGGCTACTGCCTCAGTTTCAGAATTTGCTATTGGTCTATTCAGGGATTCGACTTCTTCCTGGTTTAGTCTTGGGAGAGTGTATGTGTCCAGAAATTTATCCATTTCTTCTAGACTTTTTAACTTATTTGTGTACAGGTGTTTATAGTATTCTTTTATGGTAGTTTGTATTTCTGTGGTGTCAGTGGTGATATCCCCTTTATCACTTTTTATTGTGTCTATTTGATTCTTCCCTTTTTTCTTCTTTATTAGTCTAGCTAGCAGTCTATCTATTTTGTTAATTTTTTCAAAACACCAGCTCCTACATTCATCGATTTTTGAAGGATTTTTCGTGTCTCTATTTCCTTCAATTCTGCTCTGATCTTAGTTATTTCTTGTCTTCTGCCAGTTTTTGGATTTGTTTGCCCCCGCTTCTCTAGTTCTTTTAATTGTGATGTTAGGGTGTCAATTTGAGATCTTTCTAGCTTTCTGATGTGGTCATTTAGTACTATAAATTTCCCTCTTAACATTGCTTTAGTTGTGTCCCAGAGATTCTGGTATGTTGTTTCTTTGTTCTCATTGGTTTCAAAGAACTTCTTGATTTCTGCCTTGATTTTATTATTTACCCAGGAGTCATTCAGGAGCAGGTTGTTCAATTTCCATGTAGTCGTGTAGTTTTGAGTGACTTTCTTAATCCTGAGTTCTAATTTGATTGCACTGTTGTCTGAGAGTCTGTTATTATCTCAATTCTTTTGCATTTGCTTTGCTGAGGAGTGTTTTACTTCCAATTATGTGGCTGATTTTAGAATAAGTGTCATGTGGCACTGATAAGAATATATATTCTGTTGATTTGTTTTAGGAGAGTTCTGTAGATGTCTATTAGGACCACTTGATCCAGAGCCGAGTTCACGTCCTGAGTATCCTTGTTAATTTTCTGTCTCATTGATCTGTCTAATTTTGACGGGGGGTGTTAAATATCCCACTATTATGTGTGGGAGTCTAAGTCCTTGTGTAGTTCTCTAAGAACTTATTTTATAAATCTGGGTACTCCTGTATTGGGTGCATATATATTTAGGATAGTTAGATCTTCTTGTTAAATGGATCCCTTTACCATTATGTAATGCCCTTCTTTGTCTTTTTTGATCTTTGCTGGTATAAAGTCTGTTTTGTCAGAGACTAGGGTTGCAACTCCCACTATTTTTTTTTCCATTTGCTTGGTAAATTTTCCTGTATCCCTTTATTTTCAGCCTATGTGTGTCTTTGCACATAAGATAGGTCTCCTGAATACAGCACAACAATGGGTCCTGACTGTTTATCCAACTTGCCAGTGTGTGTCTTTTAATTGGGGCATTTAGCCCATTTACATTTAAGGTTAATATCCTTGTGTGTGAATTTGATCCCATCATCATGATGCTGTCTGGTTATTTTGTACACTAGTTAATGCAGTTTCTTCATAGTGTCATTGGTCCTTGTATTTCAGCGTGTTTTTGCAGGGGCTGGTATCATTTTTTCCTTTCCATATTTAGTTCTTCCTTCAGGAGCTCTTGCAAGGCAGGCCTGGTGGTGATGAAATCCCTCAGCATTTGCTTGTCTGAAATGATTTTACTTCTCCTTCACTTATGAAGCTTAGTTTGGCTGGCTATGAAATTCTGAGTTAAAAATTATTTTATTTAAGAATGTTGAATATTGGCCCCCACCCTCTTCTGGCTTGTAGGGTTTCTGTTGGGAGACCCACTGTTAGTCTGATGGGCTTCCTTTTGTAGGTGACCTGGCCTTTCTCTCTGGCTGCCCTTAACATTTTTTTCTTCATTTCAACCTTGGAGAATCTGATGATTATGTGTCTTGAAGTTGATCTTCCTGTGGAGTATCTTAATGTTGTTCTCTGTATTTCCTGAATTTGAAAGTTGGCCTGTCTTGCTAGATTGGGGAAGTTCTCCTGGGTAATATCTTGAATTGTGTTTTCCAACGTGGTTCCATTCTCCTCATCTCTTTCAGCTACTCCAATCAATCATAAGTTCGGTCTTTTTACACAGTCCCATATTTCTCAGAGGTTTTGTTTGTTCCTTTTTATTCTTTTTTCTCTAATCTTGTCTGGATGCCTTATTTCAGCAAGATGGTCTTCAAACTCTGATATCCTTTCTTCCACTTGATTGATTCAGCTATTGATACTCATGTATACTTCATGGAGTTCTCATGATGTGTTTTTCAGCTCCATCAGGTCATTTACTTCCCTCTCTAAACTGGGTATTCTGGTTAGCAGCTCCAGCAACCTTTATCAAGTTTCCTTGCTTATTTGCATTAGGTTAGAACATGCTCTTTTAGCTCAGCAGAGTTTGTTATTACCCACATTCGCAATCCTACCTCTGTCAATTCATCTGTCTTATCCTTTGTCTAATGCTGAGAGGCATTATGATCATTTGGAGGAGAAGTGTTTTCAGCATTTTTTCGTTGATTCTTTCTCAGCTTCATGAGTTTGTCTAGTTTCAATCTTTGAGGCTGCTGACCCTTGGATGTGGTTTGTGTGGGGACTTTTTTTTGTTGATTCTGTTGTTGTTGCTGTCTGTTTTTTTTTCTTTCTATAGGTCCCCCTTCTGTGGTGCTGCTGCAGTTTGCTGGCGGTTCACTTCAGGTCCTATTCATCTGGATCACTCCTACTCCTGGAGATGTCATTAATGGAGACTGGAGAACAGCAAAGATGGGTGCCTGGTCCTTTCTCTGGGATCTCTGACCTTGAGAGGCATCAACCTGATGCCAGTAGGAACTCTTTTGTATAGGGTGTCTGACAACCCTTGTTGGAAGGTCTCACCTAGTTGGGTGGCACAGGGAGCAGGACCTGTTTTATGAAGAACTTTGTCTCTTGATGGAGGGGGTGTGCTTTGCTGGGGGAAAAACCCACTCGTCTGGGCTGCCTGGATTCCTCAGAAATAGCAAGAGGAACGATTGTCTGCTGGTCCGTGGAGACTGTGGCCACCCTTCCCTCTAGGGGCTCAGGCCCAGGAAGATCAGAGTTCTGTACCTGAGCCCCTGGCTGGAGTTGTTGGAGTTTTTGCAGAGAGACCCCACCCGGGGGAGGGATGGGTCAGGGTTAGACCTGAAGATGCACTCTGGCCACAGTCTGCCACAGCCGGTGTGTTGGGCTATGGGGGATATCTCTTGGGACCTAGCCGTTTGGTCTCCCTGGCTCCAGCAGAGGAAAATCATGGCCTGGAGTTATAGAGATGGCTGCCTCCCTTCCCTCACCCTGAAAACTTAGCGTGTTAGGCAGCTATCAGTCCCAGTGCTGGCTGCTGCCCTTCCCTCAAGAAGCTCAAAGACCCCATTTGTCAATTTTGTCTTTTGTTGCCATTGCTTTTGGTGTTTTGGACATGAAGTCCTTGCCCATGCCTATGTCCTGAATGGTAATGCCTAGGTTTTCTTCTAGGGTTTTTATGGTTTTAGGTCTAACGTTTAAATCTTTGATCCATCTTGAATTGATTTTTGTATAAGGTGTAAGGAAGGGATCCAGTTTCAGCTTTCTACATATGGCTAGCCAGTTTTCCCAGCACCATTTATTAAATAGGGAATCCTTTCCCCATTGCTTGTTTTTCTGCACAGCAAAAGAAACTACCATCAGAGTGAATAGGCAACCTAAAAATGGGAGAAAATTTTTGCAACCTACTCATCTGACAAAGGGCTAATATCCAGAATCTACAATGAACTCAAACAAATTTACAAGAAAAAAACAAACAACCCCATCAAAAAGTGGGTGAAGGACATGAACAGACACTTCTCAAAAGAAGACATTTATGCAGCCAAAAAACACATGAAAAAATGCTCATCATCACTAGCCATCAGAGAAATGCAAATCAAAACCACTATGAGATACCATCTCACACCAGTTAGAATGGCAATCATTAAAAAGTCAGGAAACAACAGCTGCTGGAGAGGATGTGGAGAAATAGGAACACTTTTACACTGTTGGTGGGACTGTAAACTAGTTCAACCACTGTGGAAGTCAGTGTGGCGATTCCTCAGGGATGTAAAACTAGAAATACCATTTGACCCAGCCATCCCATTACTGGGTATATACCCAAATGACTATAAATCATGCTGCTATAAAGACACATGCACACATATGTTTATTGCGGCATTATTCACAATAGCAAAGACTTGGAACCAACCCAAATGTCCAACAATGATAGACTGGATTAAGAAAATGTGGCACATATACACCATGGAATACTATGCAGCCATAAAAAATGATGAGTTCATGTCCTTTGTAGGGACATGGATGAAATTGGAAATCATCATTCTCAGTAAACTATCGCAAGAACAAAAAACCAAACACCGCATATTCTCACTCATAGATGGGAATTGAACAATGAGATCACGTGGACACAGGAAGGGGAATATCACACTCTGGGGACTTTGGTGGGGTGGGGGGAGGGGGGAGGGATAGCACTGGGAGATATACCTAATGCTAGATGATGAGTTAGTGGGTGCAGTGCACCAGCATGGCACATGTATACATATGTAACTAACCTGCACAATGTGCACATGTACCCTAAAACTTAAAGTATAATAAAAAAAAAAATGGTTTTCATTCTTCCCTTTGCATTTGAAAATCGGAAGATCCAAGATTACTCAGCCAATGTGATGATTCATTTGAGACGTTAGCTTGACTAGGCCTTAGCACCCAAAAAAAAAAAAAAAAAAAAAAAAAGAAGCTCAAAGACTTAGACGGCAGGCAGCTGTACCTGTGGTGCTGGTCGTCCTTCCCCCGAGGAACTCAGCACCCTTAAGCAGACTTTAGCTGAGAGGCTGTTGAGAATCTGCGTGGCTTTGTGGTTGAAACCCTAGGCCCCATTGGCATGGGCTCACGAGTGGAATCTTCCTATCCATGAGTTGCACAGTTCCCTGGAAACATCTCGACTTCCCAGGCTGAGCAGCATGCTCACTGACCACCTCCCTTGGCTAGGGGATGGGGTCTCCCCTGCCTGGCGTGGATCTCAGGTGGGCCACCTCACCACACTGCTCTTCCTTCCTCTCCATGGGTCACACCAGCCACCTAGTCAGTTTTGATGAGAGAACCTGGATATCTCAGTTGCTAGTGCAGGATTCACATGCTGTTATGGTTCTTTTCAATGGGAGCTTCTGATCACTTTTGCTTCTAATAGGCCATGTTGGCCATGCCCCAAAGTTGTTATTAATGTCTCCACTTTCATTTCTGATTTTAGTATGGGTGTCTTATCTCTTTTCTTCTTTGTCCTGTTCTCTAAAGATTTGCTAATTTTGTCAATCTATCCAAAGGACTAACTTTTTTTTTTTTTAATTTTCTCTACTCTTTCCCTATTATCTTTTTTTTAAACAAAAAACTGTACTAATTTTCATTATTTCCTTTCTTTTGCTAGCATTCTGTTTAGTTTTCTCTTTTTTTTCTAGTTCTTTTAAGTGTAAAGGTAGGTTACTGATTTGAAATTTTTATTCTTTTATGATATGGATATTTAATCCTATAAATTTTCCTTTTAGCAATGCCTTTGATGTATACCATAAGTTTTGGCATGTTGTATTTTCATTTTCAATCCTCTCAAACTGTTTTCTAATTCTCTAGTAATTTCTTATTTGATTCAATGGTTGTGTAAGTGTGTGTGGTTTAATTTTTACATATTTTGAATTTTACAGTTTTTGTTATTTTCTTCTAGTTTCATTCCATTGTGTCACAGATGATACTTGTATGTTATTGTATTAGTCAGGGTTCTCCCTGACTTAGTATTAGTCAGAGGGACCGAACTAATAGGATATATATATGAAAGGGAGTTTATTAGGGATAATTGGCTTACATGATCACAAGGTAAAGTCACACAACAGGCCATCTGTAAGCTGGGGAAGAAAGATGCCAGTAGTGGCTCAGTCCGAGTCTAAGAGCCTCAAAGGCAGGGAAACCAACAGTGCAACCTTCAGCCTGTGGTCAAGGCCTGAGATCCCCTGGAAAATCATTGGTGTAAGTCCAAGAGTACAAAGGCCAAAGAATCTGGACTCTAATGTCCAAGGACAGGAGAAACGGAAGGAAGCATCTAGCACAGGAGAAAGATGGAAGCCAGAAAACTCAGCAAACCAGCTTATCCCACTTTCTTCCGCTGCTTTATTCTAGCTTTGCTGGCAGCTAATTGGATGGTGCCCACCAACACTGAGGGTAGGTCTTCATCTCTCAGTCCACTGACTCAAATGTCAATCTCCTTTGGCAACACCCTCATAAACACACCCAGAAACAACACTTTACTAGCTATCTAGACATTCTTCAATCCAATCAAGTTGACATTTACTATTAACCATCATGGGTATCAATTTTTTAAAATTAACTGAAACTTGTTTTGTGTTAACATACGGGCTATTCTGAAAAAAGTCCCATGTGCCCTTGAGAACATATATTCTCCTGTTGTTCAGCAGAGGGTTCTACATATGCTGGGACTACTTGTTTTATAATGTTGTATAAGTCTTCTAATTTTTATTGATCTTCTATCTAGATATTTCACTCATTATTTAATTTGGTGTTTCAAAGTCTCTACTTATTACTGTAGAATTGTCTATTTTTTCCTTCAAATTTTTTCAGTGTTCACTTTAGATATTTTGGGGCTCTGTTGTTTAATGCAGATATGTTCATAATTGTTACATCTTCTTGATGAGTTGGACAATTTTTCTTTTTACAAATAATGCTCTTCCTTGTCTCATAACAGTTTTTCACTTAAAATCTATTTTGTTTGCTGTTAATATGGTCACTTCAGTTCTCTTTTGATTACTTTTTATGTGTTTTACTCTTTCACTTTTTAATTTTATTCTTTCACTCTCAATATATTTTTTCTTTTAACCTAAAGTGAGTCTCCTGTAGATAGTATGTAGTTAGATCATTTTTTTACAATCCATTATTTCAATATTTGTCTTTTGATTGCAGACTTTAACCTATTAACATTAAATGTAAATCACTTTAAAAGTGATTACTGATAAAGGACTTACGCCTTCCATTTTACTATTTGTTTTCTGTTTGTCTTATATCCTTTTTGTCCTTCATTTTCTTTATTATGAACTTCTTTTGTATTTACTCGACTTTTTCATAGTGAATAATTCTGATTCCCTTCTCATTTTCTTTGTGTGTTTTTTCTGATATTTTCTTCGTGCTTAACCTGGAGATTACCTTTAGCATCCTAAATTTATAACAGTCTAGTTTGAAATACTACTAACTTAAGTTCAATAGCATGCAAAAACTTTACTCACATACAGCTCCATCCCCACCTTTTTTATGTTGGTGTTCTCACAAAATACATCTTTATATATGCTACAATGCAATTAAATAGAATAGAATAGCAAAACATTAGAATTCAAAGAGCCATAAGTAATTTTCCAGGGACATTCATTTTGCACACTTCCTATTACTGAAAAGGTGACCACGTGATTTCAGACCCAGGGGTTTCTTTGTTCTGAACATAATACTAGAAATTTAATAGGAATAAGAATAATATTAATAACAGGAATGAAAAGCACTGTTTAGGAGGGTCCAAAATGCAAACTGAAATTGGTCACCATGAGGCAGTATAGTAAAGTAATTAGTAAGGTAGACCCTGGACTCAGAATAAATCTAGCTTCATCATTAGCCACATGATTTTGTTTATGTTCATTAACCTATTGATACTTCATTTTTCTTATCCTAAAATAAAGATAATAGAACCTGCCTCAAGGGTTGGCAGTATAACTTATATAAGTCATGTAAATTGTCTATAACAGTGCCTGGCACATGGTTAGAACTCAATAAAACTAATTATTCTTGGGAGGGATAGCATTAGGAGATATATCTAATGTAAAGGACGAGTTAATGTGTGCATCACACCAACATGGCACATGTATACATATGTAACAAACCTGCACGTTGTGCACATGTACCCTAGAACTTAAAGTATAATAATAAAAAAAGCTAATTATTCTTATTATTAACCCCCAAATCTTGTAATAGAATGAATGCATAAAAGCTTTGTTCATAGAACTTTTGTTTCTAAATTGCTATTTTATAGCAAATTTTCACCTTGGAAAAAATTGAACTCAGAATCTGAATGATCCTACTTCACAAACACAAAAGATTGTGGAAAGCAATATTTCTCAAACTGGGTCTTGAAATCACAGGTGTGATTTATAAGAAATGTTGACATTTTGTTCCAATGATTATTTAAGTAAAAATTCTATTCTGGAGTGGTATCTCACTACTGAGGAACATTTTAATAAAACATGACTTTTCATGGTTTTAGTTATTAGTAAAATAAGACTTTAATGTCATACAAATAAATTAGTGGAGCAATAACTAATTGTGGGAGGTAATAAGATTAAGAACAGAGAGAATTTCACACATAATTTATGTACTCATGCCAAGTGAATATCAATTAACGCATGGCAAGTGTTGGCTTTACTGTAGTTCAATTTTTAAAAAATTATAAAAGGACTGAATAATCTCACAGTACATAGAAGTATAGTAATGCCAAACTTAAATGAACCTGAACAGTAGCATTCATTTACATATTCAAATTACACAGTCATCTTTGTATATATAAGTCTCAATTCTTCATTAGTAGTAAGCAATACGTAGCAATTACTTAATAAACTTTTGATAAATACTATTTTTATACTTTAAGTACTATATGTTAAGATGCTAATAAATTAATTCATCAAAATAATGTATTGTTAAAAACCCTTTTATTATTTGGTTTAAGCAAGTAGCATCATCCATCACATTAAATTAATAGAATTGATTTTATCTAATCTATTTTGTAGCTTTATTTGTAATTTGTGAATTTGTTTTGCATTTTTGCAGTATTTGTATAAAAGTTATATAAATAAGGAGTTTATATCTTGCTTATAATTGAATTCATTTAACAACCAAAATAATATAAAATATTTAAATAAACATGTGGGAGTAGATAATATTTTTTTGAAGGGTAATATTTTTCAAATTTGAAAAACTTTGGGATACCAGTTAAGATCTTGGGTTCTACAGTCAAATAGACTTGAATTCTAATCACTGTTTTTTACTTTTTAATTATTTTTATAAATAATTTCAACTTTTATTTTAGATTCAGGGGGTACATGTGTAGATTTTTTTACATGGAAATATTGTGTAATGCTGAGGTTTGGGGTATGGATGATCCAATCAGCCAGGCAGTGAGCATAGTACCCAGTAAATAGTTTTTAACCCTTTTCCTCCCTTCGCCCTTCCCTCCTCTAGTACTGCCCAGTGTCTGTTGTTCCTATCTTTATGTCCATGTGTATTCAGTTTAGCTCTCACTTATAAGTGAGAACATGTGATGTTTGGTTTTCTGTTTCTGTACTAATTCACTTAAGATTACGGCTTCTAGCTCCATTCATGTTGCTGCAAAGGACATAATTCCATTCTTTTATATGGTTGTGTAGTATTCCATGGTGTATATGTACCAAATTTTCTTTATCCAATCCACCATTGATAGACACCTAGGTTGATTCCATGTCTTTGATATTGTGAATAATGCTGCAATGAACATATGAGTGCACATGATTTTTGGTAGGATGCTAATATTTGTTCTAACAGTAGCTAGTATTGAGACTTTGGACAAGTTACTCTACCTTTTTAAATTTCAGTTTCTTCATGTGTTAAACAGGAATAATAATAGGACTCACCTCATAGGATTGTTGTGAGGATCAAATATTATAATTATGTAAACATTTATCAGAGTCACTAGCATATTTTAAAAACTCAAAAATGTTAGATATTGATAGTTGTTATTGTGAACAATAACAATCTTTCTCACAGTGAACCTGGATTTGGCCTCAAAATCCTTGTCAACATAATGCTCAGGGAAGCTATTACAAATCAATTGGTGGTGGTTTTCAAATTGAAACATGTCTGCCAATTGCTAGATTAGCTATCATATCCATGCCATTAAATAAATAATACTCAATGCCAGTAATTATTAGAGAAAGTCCTACTATGTATAATTCTGGCAGTAATATATGCTAATCTTTATATTCACTCTATAGAGCTGTAATTTGGGACTTCCTTGGATCAAGATACCAGTACAATGTTGCTACAAACACTGTTTTGTATTTGGCAAGATTGTTTACCTTTAAATAACAAGCCTATCGTTAAGGATATCAAGTTTCAGTTAGTCAGGAGAAACAGGTTCAAGGCATCTCTTGTACACCATGACTGTAGTTAATAACAATGTATTGTAGACTTAAAAATTGCTAATAGAGTAGATTTTAAGTTTTCTCACCCCGCAGAAATGATAAATATGTGAGATAATGCATATGTTAATTAGTTTAATATAGCTATTTCACAAAATGTACATATTTTAAAACATCATGTTGAACACCAAAAATATGTAGAATTTTTATGTCAATTAATACTATTATAAGAATATGATTCCATTTCCAGCAATGTGGCAAACTAAATAACCTGAAAATCTTCCCTCTATCATACCTTTAGAAATGTGAAATTCTCTTATAATATATTCTTTCTCGGTATATATATATATAATATAAAATATTTAAACATGCAGTACTTAAATATACAGAAAATATATAGTATTCTCTCTATATATATTGAGAATATATTATAAGACAATTATAAGAGAATGTATTTAAGAGAGTATATATTATAAGAGAATTAAGAGCTCACATAAGAGCTCAGAAAAGAATAAAGAAACGCCTATAAGCCCCAAATGGAAAGGAAACTCAAAAATAGTGCAAAATGGTACAATTGTAGCTATCGCTGCCCTGGAGAAAGTTGATTGGTCTCAGTAATCAAAGGAATATGAGTTTTAATGGCCTTGGGTTCACACAAAATGGGAAATTGGAATTCCCTAATGATTCTACCTAATGCCAGGAATCATTATAGGGCCTCAACCTCAGTGAATACATAGACTATAAAAACTCCACTTGGGGGCCAGGAGCGGTGTCTCACGCCTGTAATCTCAGCACTTTGGGAGGCTGAGGCAGGTGGATCACCTGAGGTCAGGAGTTCGAGACTAGCCTGACCAACATGGCGAAACCCCAGCTCTACTAAAAGTACAAAAATTAGCTGAAAGTGGTAGCGGATGACTCTAATCCCAGCTACCTGGAAGGCTAAGGTAGGAGAATCACTAGAACCCGGGAAGCGGAGGTTGCAGTGAGCCGAGATAGCGCCATTGCACTCCAGCCTGGGGGACAGGGCAAGACTCCGTCTCAAAAAAGAAAAAAAAAGAAAAAAAAGAAAAAAGAAAAGAAAGAAAGAAAGAAAACTCCACTTATCATACTTACCATATAATAAAAAATATAACAAGGAAGTTTTTTTTGTTGCTGTTGTTTCACCCTTTGCCTTAAGTTACAAATAAAAAGTGTTCTCTAAACATTCATAACAGTAGGCCTGCCTTCACCTGGTTTGGGAACCTGAATTTAGATTATCTGCAACTTACTGCCAATAAATTAGAATAAAAATGTCTTTGGTCACAGCCCTTCATTGTTTCACAGAAACAATGTACACCTCAATGAAACAACATGTTCTCAGCTAGGGAAAAGAATTCCCTGAAGACTAGTACTTCTCAACATGTGTTCAGGGACCATGAACATCAGCATCACCTGTAACTTGTTAAAAATGCCCAGTCTTGAGCCTCAACCAAGACCTACCAAATCAGAACCCTAACCCTAACCCTAAGGAAATGTTGACATCTAACAATCTGTGTTTCAATAAGTCCTTCAGATGATTCTGATTCAAGCTTAAGTTTGATAACCACTTTTCTAGATAAAGCCCTACTGAAGATGAACCTACAATTCTAAGTCACAAAACTTTCTAGAAAACAGCATATCATAAGCAACTAAACTTCATCTGACCTGTAACAGGGTTTGGGACAAACTTCACAATGTTACACTGCATGGGTTAAGAAATAAGGTTTACAAAGAACACTTATATAAACTAAGGAAACCTACATATACAAGAGAAGAAGAGGTGTGAGACCACTTTATTCTGGCATCACCAAGGAAGCTTTGCCAAGATCTGAAGGATGTTATTCCATAGGATCTATGACCCTGTAAAAGATGATCATTCTCCTGTAATTCTACTGATTTTTAGGGCAAATTGAGGAAATAGTCTTGTTAGTAGATTACCACATAGACTGGCCGACATGAGACTGTCTAGATTTCATGGGCTATATGTATAGAAAAATTTTATTGTGATGCTAGCCACAAAGAATCTGGAAAACTTGGTGTACATGAGTACCTATTTGGTAGAGGAAAGCATGGGTCTAATGACAAACTGAATGGATGCAAACTCCCTTGCTGGTAAAAGGGAGAGCCCCTGGTTCCAGTGTGATCTTTGTCAAGTCAACTCAAAGTGAACTCACAGGGTCATTTTCAGACAATCTTGTTCATTGCATCACAACTGCTAAAGACAAAATTAATAATCTTGGAGATAAATCTAAGAAAGGTATTCATAGTACAGCACAGAGAAATGAAGAAAGGGAAAATATGAGAGATTCAGATTCATAGAAAATTGAATTGGAAGGTTCAACATACATGAATTTTGAATTACAGAGAAGAGAATACATAAAATAGAAGAGTGACAATAGTCAAAGAAAAGGAAGGCTTATATTTTAGCCCATATTATGAAAGACACAAATAATCAGAATCAAAAATCAGAGTTAAAACTGCAATGATAAATAAAACTAAATCCAAAGCTATGCATATCAGGGTTAAACTGCACACTAAACATAAAAATATCTTAAAATCAATAAGAGAGGAAAAGCATATTACCTACAAATAAAAAATTAACAGGAGACATCGCAGTAGTAATAGATATTAGAAGTGCATAAAACATCTTCAGTTTTGAAAGAAAACTACTTAGAATTTTATATCTAGACAAATTATTATTCAAGAGTGATACCAATAAGTAACTATAAAATAAAATGAAAAACAACTCAGTTGATGGTATAAAATCAAAGAATAGTAAGGTACTGGAAAATATGGCAAAATGGTAAGTAGTGGTTGAAGTTACAGCATTTTAATGTACTTATTACTCAGAAGGAGAATAAAAAAAGATAGTGATTGACTTCACATATTGATTGACTTTACACATATAAAGTCAAGTAGGTATGCACATTTTAAAGGGAAATAACAAAACTAATATAAATAGACTATCTTTCTACACCAGTAGAGGGAAAATAAGAGAATATAAGGTAGAACAGGAGGCAAAAGAATGTATAGAAAAAAGAGGACAAGTAGAAAGCACATGGTAAGATAGTAGAAATAAATATATTCATATTTGTCATCACAATACATATAAATGGACTAAACTCACTAATTAAAAGGCGAGTATTGATGGGTTGGGCAAAAAACAAATGTATTTATAAATTATTCATGAGAGATACATCTAAAACACAGGTACATGGAAAGATTCAATGTGAAGAGACAGAAATGGACATGCAGGTAAATTATACAAAAGAAGGCTGTTGAGACTATCTTAATATTAGACAAAGCAAATTTTAAGGCAAAAAACACTAGAAATAAAGGGGGTCAATGCACAATGATAAAATGAACAATGTATCAGGACTATAGCAGTTTTAAAAGTTGAATGCATTTAAGAGCATAGCCTGAAAATATTCACAAAAAAATTGAAATAATTATAAGAAGAATTTGACAATTCACAATCATAGTGGAGTATTTTCACCCTTCTTTCTCAAGGACACATACTAAAGTATCTCCATGATATTCCATCAGTTTTTCTTATTTCATTCTATTAGCATGATAAATTTTTAAGGTTTAACAGAAAGAAAATTTAACTAAATGATATAGGAAGTTACTTCAGTATGATAGGATTGTGGTTTATTACTTTTCTCTTTAATTTTAGGATTGTTCCAATCTCTTATAATTCATACATATTATTTATATAAGTAAAATAAACTAATAAAATTTTACCTTGAAAATAAACAAAAAGTAAAAATAATTATTTCTCTAGCATATAGCATAATGCTTAGCACAGATTAGGCTTTCATTTAGAAATGATTGAACTACACTCAAGATCATTTGAAAGACACTGTGGTGGAAGGGGAACATCACACACCGGGGCCTGTAGTGGGGTGGGGGGAGGGGGAGGGATAACATTAGGAGATATGCCTAATTTTAAATGACGAGTTAATGGGTGCGCACACCAACATGGCACATGTATACATATGTAACAAACCTGCACGTTGTGCACATGTACTCTAAAACTTAAAGTATAATTAAAAAAAAGAAAGAAAGACACTGTGGCAATATGTAATAGAAAGAACACTCTTCTAGGAGACTTGGGTTTAGTAGAGCTCTGCCATTTACTATCTATATAGTCTTCAGAAATTCACAGTATAAGCTACATTTGCCTTTAAATGTATAGAATAAATTCTTTGCTGACAACCTCAAAAAACCATGATACTCAAATGAGATAATGTATGTAAACATGTCCTGGAAACAATAAAATTCGACAAAATGCAGCCTACTGTTAAAAGTACACTCAGCTGAATAGGAGTTCATTCATCAGTTGTCATCACCCCTTTTATGCAGTAAAGCCCTGGCCATGAAAACCCTGCTGTATTTCAACAAAGAAACCGGATACAATACACAGTGTCAAGGAGTAACAAGTCCTGGTGAGTATCATTATAGGTGGTTACTATAGTTTAGATATTTGCTCCAAAAATCTCTTGTTGAAATTTAATTCTAATATTGGAGTTAGGGATTAATGGGAAGTGTTTGAATCATGGGGGGCAGATGCCTCATGAATAGGTTAATGCCCTCCTTGGCAGAGGTGGGGAGTAGGTGGGCAGGTGGGTGAGTGAGATCTTACTCTTCCTAGTTCCCAAGACAGTTGGTTGTTGTTAAAAAGAGTTTGGCACCTTTCTCCCCTCTGTCTTGCTTCTGCTGTCACCATGTGATCTCTGTAAATTCCAGCTCGTCTTTGCCTTCTGTCATGAGGAGAAGCAGCTGGACGCCCTCACCTGATGCCCAATTTTGAACTTTCCAGGCAGCAGAACTGAGCTGAATAAGTCTATTTGCTTTTTAAATTACCCAGCTTCAGGTGTTCATTTATAGCAACACTAAACTAGCAAAGACAGTGGCTCACGTAGAAATGGCAGTAAGGCAGGCATTGTTCTGATTTACTCAGATCTAGCCAGGTGGTCTTGTTGGATCAGCAATACAACAAATAGGGTTCCTCCAGAATTTTTCCCACAATATCAAGTAGAGAAGATTGCTGGGAACTGAGCCCATTGTGCAGCTTTATCAAATAGTATGATTTCAGTGACATGGGGAAGACAGTAGTAGTAATATTAACGAAAGTAAATCCTAATACAATATTTACTATGCACTTCTCACATTTCACAGAATACATCTGAATAAAATAAGAGTATTCCCCTTTCTGTTTTGAGTGGTGGATTTGGCTAAGCAAGCAGAGTTCCTCTGTGGGGTAGGAGAGATAATGAGCAGAAATGGAAGGACAAGTAGGCTGAACTTAGCTCTGAAGCTCAAAAACTGTATGCCATGGAATGCTGACACTCAAGGAGTTCCATCCTCATCTTTTCTGAATTTGGGAAGGAGGTTGGAGGCAGTGGAACACTATCTGCCATCTTTTGAAGTAAACACAACACCATCACCACTATCACTATCACCTCCATCCCTACTAGTTCTGTTTGCAAAAGCAATAAGCTCATATCAAGACCTAATTTCCCAAATAGTGTCACCTTTTGATCCTTTGACCATTGCACATTTTGTTAGCTTCTTTGACTTACTGGAAGGCTGCTTTCTCAATCCAAATCTTCCCTAATACTACTTAAAGTGTTTGCTGAAGCCAATAAATTCCAAATATAGTTTACATCTATCTAATTGGCTTAAGATTTCTATCTGTGGTCTTGTTTCAATTTTATGACTAAACTTTAAAGTGGTTTCTTAGAACTTTCAGGTGATCCTACTATAATTCTTAGTCTATCTTCATCCTCTTTTCCCCTGATTCAAGCAATTATTTCACACCCTTGCAAGCATCTAATATTGTCTCCCCTGTCCTCACTCTCAGCTGATTAGCCTCTTATTTCATAGAAGAAATACAGGCTATCTTAAGAGACCTACTGCAAATCCTAACACCGCATTTACCCATCTAACTAAATCTGCACCCACATAATCTGCTTTACTGCAATTATGGATTTTGCTCCTGCAAATAACTTTTCTCTCCTACATCATCAATTTATTCCTATACAATATGTCCTCAACCTACAAACATGCTGAAATAGCTCACATCTTAAACAATATCATCATCAACAAAATTCCCTAAACCCCAAATTTCATATCGGTTACCACTTCTTCACTTCTTATCTGTGATAACCTTCGTAGCAACCCCCACCTTTAAAAGTGTTGTCTACACATAATTCTCTTTAGTTTTCCACATCTCATTGTTTTCTAAATACATTCTAATTAAGTTTTGTTCCCAGCACTTCATTGAAACCACATATTGTGGTCCCCAATGACCTCCACATTTTTTTAAAACCTAGGGTCAATTCTCATCCTAATTTTATTTGTTTTTTTCAGTAGCATTTGACACAATATATCACTTTTCCTGTTCATGAAGCACATTCTTCACCTAGTTTGATCTGGGTTGGAACTTTCAGCTGCCCAATCTCTGGAGAGGGGAGGGGGACTGGGTATTGAGCTCAACCATATGGCCAGTTAGTTAATCAATCATGCTTACATAATGAAAAAAATATAAAACTCTGGACAATGAAACTGGGAGGGTGGCACACTCTGACTCCATGGGGACAGAAGCTCCTGTGCTTGGAACCCTCCTAGATCTTGCCCTCTGTACTTTTTCATCTGGTTATTCTTCTAAAATCTTTATAACAAAATGGTAAGCATATGTGTGGTGCTTCCTGAACACTGTGAGTCATTCTAGTGAATTATTAGACTTCAATAATCTTCATCAAGTTTATAGGGACCTAGTGTATAGGGATAAATTTGGGGTTGTGGGAGACCCCAAATTTCTAGTCAGCTACACAGAAAAGAGGGTAGACTGGGGATTCCTCATATGGCTGGCATCTGAAGTAAAGGCAGTCTTCTTGAGGCCCTTGCCCTTTAACTTCTGGGATTTGATGCTAACTCCAGGTAGATAATGTCAGGATTGAATTGGATTGTAGGACACTCAGTTCCTTCTGAGTGAAACTGAGGTGTCTGAAAATTGGTGTCAAAATGTAATCACCTACTCATAACATATTTGCTACACAGTCTGACATCTATTTATTTTACAGTAGACATTTTGACAATTGAATTGTTTTTGCGATGGAATTTCACTCTTGGTGCCCAGGCTGGAGTGCAATGGCGTGATCTCAGCTCACTGCAACCTCCGCCTACTGGGTTGAAGCGATTCTCCTGCCTCAGTCTCCTGAGTAGTTGGGATTACAGGCCCGCACCACCAAGCCCAGCTCATTTTGTATTTTTTTTTTAAATAGAGACAGGGTTTCTACTGTTGGCCAGGCTGGTCTCGAACGCCTGACCTCAGCTGATCCACCTGCCTCAGCCTCCCAAACTGCTGAGATTACAGATGTGAGCCACTGCGCCTGGCCGACAACTGATTTTTGATATGTGAAGTCAACACCAATTTTCTGTTTTCTTATTTAATCTTCCAATCAATTAACTATTAAATGTGATGCTGTGTGGGTTCCAATGCATATAGAGCCTGGCACCATATTGGTGTTATATTAATGTTAAATAGCAGCAACATTAAAACCACATAACCCTGTAAGTCATTATAAAGAATGAGTCATCACTCCTTGATTTAAATGAACTTAAAACATTTTATGCATTTAAAGGTTTGAGGGATTTTCTATTAATGCTTATGGGAATAAATGTTAAGCTTTTAGTTAAAAAACGTGTTACATCTCAAGCAGGGAAAAATAATGGATAGCATAAAACACAAAGAAGGGAATACATTTTAAAATTGCTTTTAATTTTCTTGATGAGTTAAATCTCAAGAGGGAATCAGCATGAAATACCCACTACATGTTGTTTCAATTAGAATAAACTAAAGAAAGATTGGTTGTCTTCATCAGGCATCAAATATTGTATACAAAGTTAGTATTTTACTTGCAAAATGTTTATTAATTATATGGTCTTCCTTTAAAGTTATATATGAAGATCTACTCAGATAAGATGCTGCCATTACTCAGAATTAAAATTTCAGCAAGTGTTCTTTATTTCAGCAAGGACACTGGCACTCAGTAGGTAGGTGTTTGTTACACATGCATAAAGGTACCCATATAATATATACCATACCAAAAAAGAATGCACTAAAAACACATTTTCTTAATTGTGTTTATGCCACATTGCCAGAGATTTGCTTTCCTTGAATGACATCCATCTTCCATGCTATTGCTTTTGCCCTTAGGAACATAGATTGCTTCTGGACTTGACTTGAAAATATGGCTACATTTGTCCTAATTCTATTTCTTCTCAAGATACAGGTGACTTGAGAAAAAAACAACAGATCTAGAAAGCAGAAAGAGAAAGTCTTTTCTTCTTTTCTCCACCCCATTGGTGCCATCCAGAAACGGAGTGTTGATATTTATTATTTGGATCAAAAAGGAACTAGACCTGACTCATAGATGCTTCAACATTATAGAGTAGTGTATTTGTATTCTAGGGCTGCTGTAACAAACTGTATGACTTAAATAACAGAAATTTATTGTTGCATAGTTCTGTAGGCTAGATGTCTGAGAACAGGGTGTTGGCAGGTCCATTTTTCCTTTGAAGACACAAGGGAAAGATCTGTTCCAAATTTGTCTCCTAGCTTTTGGCAGCATAACTCCAGTCTTCATATGGCATTATCCCTGTGGGTTCAAATTTCCTTTTTTTATGAGGACAACAGTCATAGCCATTTAGGGGCCCAGCCTACCCCAGTATGACCTCATCATAACTTAACTAATTAAAACTGTGATGCAGCAGCCACGATGCAGAAAGGAGTCCAATCCCTTTACCCTGGGAACTCCCACTCCCCCATTCTTCAATAGGCAGGACCCCTGGCACATGACTACAGAACAACTACCACACCTATGGCTGAACAAATATACTGGTCGTGGCTCTGAATTTCCTGGGGCAAGGCTCCCAGATGCAACTGACAGCCCCCACTGCCACTGCTACAGCGGTGGTCTTGACCTTGTTGCTGATCATCTGGGGGAAAAAAACAAAAAGCCTGAAGTCTACACCCAAACTTACAGTATGCCACAGTCAGCATATGGAGAGTAGACCTGTCTCTTCTCCCTCTGAGCTATTGACCCCCTACTCCCCAACAAGCAGAGCCTCCAGCTCACACCATCAGTGCAGCCACCCCACCCCCAGTAGCAGCTTCTCCATATTTCTGGGAAGTGGAGCCCTCAGGAGCAATCAAAAGCTCCTCTGCCCCTGCCTCTGCAGTGGCATTAACCCTGTTACCTTAGGACTGGTGAAGGGGCGAGGACCTAAGTGCCTTATCCACACCTCCAGCAAGCTACAGCAGACTCAAAGAAAGAAGGCCAGTCTGTACCCATGAGTCCCTCCGCCCCGCCAACCCACCACTGGCTTGGGTTCACATCCTGGGCTGATCACACTGAGCGATTACTGCTGCACATCTCTCTGGGGTCTAGTTCCAGGAAATAAGTGAAAGACCCTCGGCCACAACCACTGCTGAAGTCCCTTCCTCTGCTGCCTTTAAGTTGGGAAGGGAACATAAACCCCGAGATTGCCCCAGAGCTGTGGTGGGCAGTCCAGGAAGGCCAAGCCATGATCTACAGCCAGTACTCAAGTGAGAGAGGAGCCCAAAACTTCAGAGCATTGAGAGGGAGCACAGTTGCAACTGTGAGAAAACATAGGGGAGACGTGACTGAGCAAGAGCTTACCTGCTGACTGTTATGCCAAAGCACCACTTACTAGAGCACACCCCAAAACTTCAACACCAAAAATGCTTTGCTAACATATGCCCCTGTAAAACCAAAGACAAGAAGTCAGCTACAAATAAAGAGCCTGCATAAAGCCTTAGCCCTCTGAAAACACCCAAAAAAAAGCAGTCTACTGACTGTACTCAATCTATACCACAGATAAAGGAACATCCACAAAGAGAGATGAGAAAGAACTAACACAAGAACTCTGGCAACTCAAATGAACAGAGTGTCTTGTGTCTTCCAAACGACTGCACTAGTCTTCCAACAGGGTTTCTTAACAGAGCCATGGTGGCTGAAATGACAGAAATAGAATTCAGAATATGGATAGGAATGAAGATCACTGAGATTCCAAAGGAAGGCAAAACCTGATCCAAGGAAAATAAGAATCATAACAAAGTGGTACAGGAGCTAAAAGATGAAATAATCAGTACAAACAAAAACCCAACTGCCCTGATAGTGCTAAAGAGCATACTACAAGAATTTTATAAAACAATTGCAAGCATTAATAGCAGAATAGACCAAGCTGAGGACAGAATCTCAGAGTTTGAAGAATGGCTGCCTGAAGTAAGACAGTCAGACAAAAATTTAAAAAAAATGAAAAAGAACAAACAAAACTCCTGACAAATATGGAATTATATCAAGAGGTCAAATATACGAATCATTTGTGTCCCTGAAAGAAATGAAGAGAAAGGAAACAAATTGGAAAACATTTTAGGATTTCATCCACAAAAACTTCCCCAACCTCATTAGAGAGGGCAACATTCAAATTCAAGAAATACAAAGAACACCAGCAAGATACTACACAAGAAGATCATCCCCTAGATACCTAATCATCAGATTTTCCAAAGCCAAAATGAAAGAAAAAATGTTAAATGTAGCTAGAGAGAAAGGGGAGGTCACCTACAAAGGGAATCCCATGAGGCTAACAGCAACCTTTGGGCAGAAACCCTGCAAGCCAGAAGAGATTGGAAGACAATATCCAACATTCTTAAAGAAAAAAATATCTCCATAAAAGAATGTGATATCCAGTCAAACTAAGTTTCTTAAGTGAAGGAGAAATGAGATCCTTTTCTGACAAGCAAATGCTGAGGGAATTAGTTACCACTAGACCTGCCTTACAAGAGTTCTTAAAAGTAGTGTTAAATCTGGAAAAGAAAGACCATTGTTAGCCAATACGAAAACATACTTAAGTACACAGACAAGTGATACTATAAGGCTACCACACAATCAAGTCTTCATAATAACCAGCTAAAAACACAATGACAGGATGAAATCCACACATAGCAATACTAAACTTGAATTTGAATTGGTTAAAGGCCACAATTAACAGACACAGGGTGGCAAGCTGGATAAAAAAGCAAGACCCAATGGTATGCTGTTTTCAAGAAATGCATCTTCCATGCAAAGACACCCATAGGCTCAAAATAAAGGGATGGAGGAAGATCTACCAAGCAAATGAAAATTCAAAAAAGTAGCAGTTGCAAGCCTAGTTTCAGACAAAATAGGCTTTAAACCAACAAAGATTTTTAAAAAGACAAAGAAGGACATTACATAATGGTACAGGATCAAATTCACCAAGAAGACTTAACTATCCTGAATATACATGCACCCAACACAGGAGCACCCAGATTCATAAACCAAGTTCTTAGAGATGTACAAAGAGACTTAGACTCTCACACAATAATAGTGAGAGGCTTCAATATCCCACTGACAGTATTACATAGATCATTGAGGCAGAAAATTAACAAAGATATTCAGGACCTGAATTCAACATTGGACCAAATGAATCTGATAGACCTCTACAGAACTCACCACCCACAACAGACTATCCATTCTTCTCATTGCTACACAGCACCTACTCTAAAATCTACCACACAATTGGACATAAAACAATCCTCATCAAATGCAAAAAAGCCTGAAATCATATGAATCACACTGATGGTCCACAGTGGAATAAAGTAAAAATCAAGACTAAGAAAATCACTCAAAACCATTCAACTACATGGAAACTCAGCAATCTACTTCTAAACGACTTTGGGGTAAAAGGGAATTAAGGCAGAAATCAATAAATTATTTGAAAAGAATGAGAAAAAAGATACAACATACCAGAATCTCTGGAACACAGGTAAGGCAGTGTTAAGAGGAAAATTTACAGCACCAAAAACCTACATCAAAAAGTTAGAAAGATTTCAAATTAGCAACCTAACATCACACCTAGAGAAAGTAAAGCAAGAGCAAAAAAATCTAAAGCAAGCAGAAGACAAGAAGTCAGAAAAATCAGATGCGAACTGAAGGAGAGTGAGATGCAAATAATAATAATAGTAATAATAAACTTAAAAAATTAACAATGCAAAGTTTTTTTAAATTAATAAGATATATAGACCATTAGCTAGACTGATAAAGAAGAAAAGAGAGAAGATCCAAAAAAAAAAAAAAACAAAATTAGAAATAACAAAAGGAATGTTACCATCTACCCCAGAGAAATACAAAACACCATCAGAGACTGCTATGAACACCTCTATGTATACAAACTAGAAAATCTAGAAGAAATGGATAAATTTCTAGAGAAATAAACCCTCCCAAGACCAAGAAACAAATTGAATCTATTGAATCTTGAAACAGACCTATAAAGAGCTCCAAAATTGAATCAATAATAAATAGCCTACCAATCCCTCAAAAGCCCAGGAATAGATGTATTCACAGCTAAATTCTATCAGATGTATGAAGAAGAGCTGGTACCATTTCTACTAAAACTATTCCAAAAAAAATGAGGAGAAGGGACTCCTCCCCACCTCATTTTATGAGGCCAACATCATTCTGACACCAAAACTTGACAAACACAACAATAACAACAAAAAAACCATCAGTCCAATATCCTTGACAAATATAAATGCAATAATCCTCAACAAAATACTAGCAAACCAAGTCCAGCAGTACATCAAAAAGCTAATCCACCATGTTCAAGTAGGCTTTATTGCTGGGATGCAAGGTTGTCTCAACACACACAAATCAATAAATGTGATTCATCACATAAACAAAACTAAAGGAAAAAAAAACACATGATGCAAAAAAGGCTTTTGATAAAATTCCACGTGGTGCAAAAAGTTCCACATGATGCAAAAATAACATGACGCAAGAAAGGCTTTTGATAAAATTCTACATAATTCATGTTAAAAATTCTCAGTAAAGCAGGTATTGAAGAAACATACCTCAAAATAATAAGAGTTACCTGTGACAAACCCACACCCGGCATCATACAGAATAGGCAAAAGCTGAAAGCATTCTCCTTGAAAACCAGAACAAGAAAAGGATGTCTTCTCTCACTACTCCTATTCAACATAGTATTGGAAGTCCTGACGAGCGCAATTAGGAAAGTGAAAGAAATAAAGCACATCCAAAGAAGAAGAGAGGAAATCCAATTATGCCTGTTTGCAAATGACATGATTCTACATCTCGACAATCCCATAGTCTTGGCTCAAAAGCTCCTTGAGCTGATAAAATACTTCAGCAAAGTCTCAACACACTAAAATCAGTAGGACTCCTATACGTTAACGACAGCCAAGCCAAAAGCCAAGCCACAAATGCAATCACATTTAAAACTGCCACAAAAAGAATAAGATATCTAGGAATACAGTTAATCATGGAGGTAAAAGATCTCTGCAAAAATAATTACAAAAACCCTGCTGAAAGATCAGAGACAACACAAACGAAAAAAAATTCCATGCTTATGTTTAGGAAGAACCTGATATTGTTAAAATGGTCATACTGACCAAGCAATTTACAGATTCAATGCTATTTCTATCAAACTATGAAATGGGAAAGGTTCCTTTGGCCCTCTCACAGGGCGTGTGAAAGAGAGAATGGCTCACTTCTTCAGTGCCCCAGTGCTCAGACTTCTAGGGGAGCATACAGACAGGCAGGTTGTGGGGCTCTTGTCCCACAGCAGTCTCTAGAGGTGAATGTTTACAGCTCCTGAAGTCCCAGTGAGCAAGTGTAACAGGGTGCTCTTTTAGTTACCGTCTATAGGCTTGTGTTAACCAGCTCAATTAGACCCTCCACCTTGTCGCAAGGACAAAGAGTTTTCTATATCCTGGATTCTTGCCTAGGTGTACTGAAAGAATGCAATCACACTTGGGCTTGGAGAATGAGTGCAAGGTTTTATTTCGTGAAAGTAGCTCTCAGCAGATGGGGGAGCCAGATGGGAAATGGTTTTCCCTTGGAGTCCAGCTGTTCGGCGGCCCAGGCTCTCCTCAGACAGCCCTGGCCAAACTCCATCTCATTCTGCTGGTCGGTGGCCTGCCGGCAAGCTGGTGCCTGTCAGTGGGTTCCTCTCGAGGTCCAACCGCCTGTGTGTTCCTCCACTGATGGGTTCTTCTTGACGTCCAGCTGCCTCTGTGTCTCCTTTCGTCAATGTGTTCCTCACAATGTCCAACCACTGGTGTGTTTGCCTGCTAGGGTCTCAGGGGGGGTTTATAGGCACAGGATGGGGACATGGTGGGCACAAAGGCAGGAGTGCCTGTTCTCACCTAGTCAGTGGGGGTGGAGCCCTAGCCAGGGACCACGCCTTCCTCTACCCCGTACTTCCCTTTCCCCCTTCCATATCATTTAAAGGGACAACACTCTTCCAATCCCAGCACTTCTGTATCACTACCAAAGACATTCTTTCCAGAACTAGAAAAAATATTCATATTTAAAAATTCATTTGGAACCAAAAAGGATGCCTGAATAGTGAAGGAAATCCTAAGCAAAAAGAACAAAGCTTGAGAATCACATTACTTGACTTCAAACTATACTACACTGCTACAATGACCAAAACAACATGGTCCTGGTACAAAAATAGATATAGAGACCAATGGAAGATAATAGAGAGTCTAAAAATAAGGCTGCACACCTACAACCATCTGATTTTTGACAAACTTGACAAAAACAAGCAATGGGGAAAGGGTAAGTGGCGCTGGAATAACTGACTAGCCATATGCAGAAAATTAAAACAGGACCCCTTCTTTACACCATATAGAAAAATTAACTCAAGATGGATTAAAGACTTAAATGTAAAACCCAAAACTATAAAAACCTTATAAGAAAACCTAGGAAATAGCATTCTCGACCTAGGAGGTGGAAAATATTTCATGGGACGTCAAAAGCAATTGCAAACAAAGGAAAAATTGACAAATGAGATCTAATTAAACTAAAGAGCTTCAGCACAGTACAATAAACTATTAATAGAGTAAAAAGGCCACCTACAGAATGGGATAAAATATTTGCAAACTATTTATCTCACAAAGGTATAATATCCAGCATCTCTAAGGAACTAAACTGATGTAAAAGCAAAAAACAACCCAATTGAAAAGTGGGCAAAGGACATGAACAGACAGTTTTCAAAAGAAGATGTACATGAGACCAACAAGTAAATGAGAAAAGCTCAATATTACTAATCACTAGAGAAATACAAATTAAAACCAGAGTGAACTACCATCTCATACCAGTAAGAATGGCAATGAGAAAAAAGTCAAAAAAATTACAGATGCTGGCGAGATTGCAGAGAAAAGAAAATGCTTATACTCTGTTGGTGGGAGTGTGAGTTAATTCAACCAGTGAGGAAAGCAGTGTGACACTTCCTCAAAGAGCTAAAAACAAAACCACTATTCTATCTAACAATCCCATTACTGGGTATATAACCAAAGGAATATAAATCATTCTACCATAGAACACATGTACACGTATGTTCACTTCAAAGCTATTCACAATAACAAAGACATGGAATCAACCTAAATGCCAATCAATGGCAGACAGTACAAATAAAATGTGGTACATATACACTATGGAATATACATAGCAATGAAAAAAAAAAAAAGATCATGTCCTTTGCAACAACATGAATGAAGCTGGAAGCCATTATCCTAAGCAAACTAATACAGAAACAGCAATCCAAATACCACCAGTTCTCAGTTATAAGTGGGAGCTAAATGATAAGAACACATGGACACACATATGGTAACAACAGACATTGGGGTCTACTTGTGGGGAAAGGGTAGGAGGAGAGAGACAATCAGAAAAAATATAAGTATTAGATACTAAATTTAGTGACAAAATAATCTGTACACCAAGCTCCTGTGACATGCATTTACATATATAACAAACCTGCACATGTATCCCTGATCGTAAGATGAAAGTTAACAGGAAAGCCATTGATAAAACAACAAACAAACAAAAACTGGGATGGCCTTATTTCCAAATAAAGTCACATTCTGAGATACTGTAGATTAGGACTTTAAATGTATGAATTTGGCAGGGGGCACAATTCAAACTATAACAGGTAAAAACTAATAATAGCAGTTATAAATTTAATCATATACAATTTTCCAGACCCTATGTTTAGATATTTAGGTAGAGTATTTCATTTTTTTAACTTTTATTTTAAGTTCAGGGGTACATGTACAGGCTTGTTAGATAGGTAAACTTGTGTCATGGAGGTTTATTGTACAAAGTATTTCATCACCCAGGAATTAAGTCTAGTACTCATTAGTTATTTTTCCTGATCTTCTCCCTTCTTCCACCCTCCAACCTCTGATAGGCCCCAGTGTGTGTTGTTCCCTCTGTGTGTCCATGTGTTCTCAGCATTTAGCTGCCACTTGTAAGCGAGAACATGCAGTATGTGGTTTTCTGTTTTTGTGTTAGTTTGCTAAAGATAATGGCCTCCAGCTTCATCCATGTCCCTGCAAAAGACATGGTCTCTTTATTTATGGTTGCATAGTATTCCATCATCTACAAGTTCCACATTGTCTTTATCCAGACTATGATTGATGGGCGTTTAAGCTGATTCCATGTCTTTGCTATTGTGAATAGTGTTGCAATGAACATGCACATACATGTGGCTTTATGATATAATGAATTATATTCCTCTGGGTATATACCCATTAATAGGATTGCTGGGTTGAATGGTATTTCTGTTTTTAGGTATTTGAGGAATTGCCACATTGTCTTCTACAATGGTTGAACTAATTTAGATGAAATATCTCATTTAATTTCTGCAACCACTATATTATTTAGTTACTATTAATGCTCACATCTTATAAAAGATGAACTGAGGCACTGAGAACCTAAGCTCAAGTTAGCAAGTGACTGTGCCAGGATTGAAACCCAAGTAATCTGTTACCATGACCTCCACTATTAACCATTATAGACTTCTGAAAACCTAATAATGTATATTTCCTTTGAACTATGATGCATACACAGTCCATTACTTCCTTTAAAAATCCACGCTACTTGGGGCACACACAAACAGCTGCACCATCCAGAGATTATGTCCCTTACTGCATATAGTCTGAACAGTGGTAATATACTGCTTTGTGGCATTTTATTTTGCACTCTGGGGGTTATCTAATTTTTCCAGCCAGGGCATACACTACTCTAGGTCAGGGAGTATGCCTTCTACTTCTTTTTTTATATCGCACAGAGATTAGCACATTGTTGACTGTCAATAACTAGTTGTTAGGAGAAAAGTATGCAAGAAAACAAGCTGTTTTGAGTATGTTCTCATTAATGGGTAGAAGACTGATTTTTCAAAATGTCCATATAAAACGAAATCTGTAGCAACAGCTACCATAAGGTTAGTGTTAATACGTAAATACTCTTCAATGATGATACCCTAGTGCAAGGCTTTGCAATTTACTGAATTTTTGGCCTTAAGCCATGGTTCCTCTACTAACCAATCATGAGTTACTAAGTAGATCAAAATATTTATCCATAATTCTTTAATTTGGATTTTCATAATGTACATTTAAGGCAAAAATGTCATCTTTTTTTGCAGATTTTGAAGTAAAATGTAGGTATCTTTTTTAATTTTAGTATGACTTAACAATTTTACTTTTCAATTATTGTTATTTACCTCACTAGATTGTTATCAGAATAGCTTTACCTGAATCAAACAAAAGAAAGGAAATAAATTAAAAGTACTTTGAAACTCACGTGGGTTTTATTGCTGGTAATTCTATTAGTTTGTTTGGAGTCCAGGTAGGTCTTCCCCCATGTTTTTAGAGCCTCAGTTTCTCCCCATGTAAAGACAGAACTCTACCACCAGTTTTGCTTAACTCAAAGGGCCTTGTAAATGATGAAGCATAATGAAGCACACAGAGAAGGGATTATCAATATTACTGCTTCATTAAAACCCATCTCTAATATTTCATGTCTTTAGAGGAATAATCTAAATTTAAAGTTCAGATTGATAGCGAATAAAGAATAGTTATATCGGGATGGAAAGCACCTGCCATCTAACAACAACAAAAAAAGAAATCATGCCTAAGCTCTACCTGAAAATAGCTGCTTATATTGAATGAACATTCACAAATAATAAGTAGAGAAAAATAGAGTGCTTATGCACTTCTTTTATTTATTTATTTATTTATTTATTTATTTATTTATTTATTTAAGACAGTCTTGCTCTGTCGCCAGGTTGGAGTGCAGTGGCACGATCTCAGCTCACTGCAACCTCCGCCTCCTGGGTTCAAGCAATTCTTCTGCCTCAGACTCCCGAGTAGCTAGGAATACAGGCACGCACCACCACGCCTGGCTAATTTTTGTATTTTTAGTAGAGACGGAGTTTCAACATGTTGGCCAGGATGGTCCCGATCTCTTGACCTCGTGATCTGCCCGTCTCAGCCTCCCAAAGTGCTGGAATTATAGGCGTGAGCCACTGTGCCCGGCCACACTTCTTATAATTCTTTTTTCACATTGTATTTATTTATTTATTTATTTATTTATTTATTTATTTATTATCATAAAGAATAAAAGAGCACTTACCCAGATCTTTAAAATATGTGTGGCTCATAAAGAGGGAGACATATACTCTAACTCACTTTATGATGTTGGGGGCCAGACTGGCCTACAACTTGAAGAAAAAAAAAGGATGTTCACACAGACTATATTTAGCATACTTTATGAGGAGAAAGATAAAAACAACAATTATCACAGATACGAAGTTAAGGACATAGCTCTAAGGTTAGCTTTAAAAAAAAACTCAGGAAAACACATATTAATAAGAAATAAAAATGTGATTTTAAAAATTCCAATTTTTTTCAGTGTTACCAAAGCCACTCTGTTGTTTCTTTTTCCCAAAATCTCTACTGGCAGTGTACAGATTATTATCCCACATAACAAAATGAGGCAGCTGAAGCCCAGGGAGAGGGAATGGCTTGCAAAATCAACAGATATCTAATAAAAGAACAGCTCTAGAACCCTATTCTTCTTAGAAGCAGAATTATCTAATTCTCTATTCAGAAAAGAGATCTCAGAAAAAAGGTTCTTGTTGGTAAAGAGTACACGGGCCTAAGAAGCCCAATTCCCTACTGCAACTGCCTCTCAAAGTCTTAGCAGTCTCCTGTTTTTAATTTCTGAAGTTCTCAGGAGGTTCTAAAAAATCTTAACCATTTTTCTACTCTTCCACACAGAAGTAGTGATACAGGAGTGCTGAGAAGGGAAATCCGCGGTCACTTTAAATGATATGGAAAGGAGAAGGGAAGTGCTGGGTAGAGGAGGGTGTGGTCCCTGGCTAGGGCTCCACCCTCATGGACCTAGGTGAGGATAGGCATTTTCTGCCCAAATCTTGCATTTCCCGAGACCACCCTGGCCTGCCACGCCTATAAAAAAAAAACCCTGAGACCGTAGCAGGCAGACATAGGTGGCCGGACATCAAAAGGAGCATATCAGTGGAAGAAAACACAAACACGCTGGGGGAAAGAGCATATGGACAGACGCAGGCAGGCTGGCAGACCGGCGGGAGGAGGCAGAGTTTAGCCCGGACAATCGGAGGAGAGCCGGGGTCACAGAGCAGCCCAACTCCAGGGGAAGACCATCTGCCTTCTGGCTCTTCTATCTGCTGAGAGCTACTTCCACTCAATAAAACTGTACACTCATTCTCCAAGCCCAGGTGTGATCTGATTATTCTGGTACACCAAGGCAAGAACCTGGGATACAGAAAACCCTCTGTCCTTGCGACAAGGTAGAGGGTCTAACTGAGCTTGTCAACACAAGCTGCCTGTAGATGGCAAACTAAAAGAGAACCCTGTAACACATGCCCACTGGGGCTTCAGCTGTAAACATTCACTCCTAGACTCTGCCGTGGGGTCGGAGCCCCATAGCCTGTCTGTCTGTATGCTACTCTAGAGGTTTGAGCAGCGGAGCACTGAAGAAGCGAGCCACATCCCCACTGCACGCCCTGTGAGAGGGATGAAGGAACCTTTCCCTTTTCACTAGACTAAAAAACACACATTTTGTGCTCGTGTTCCCAAAGAGGGACCATGTGTGTATGTTCCCCTTTATTACTGCCTCAGTACTAGTTTTTTGAACTCAGTCCCTGTCTTTCTCTTTATTTTCCCTTCAATTCTTCTCAACCCAGAGGTAATTTAAACCTTCATTTGGTTCAGCAATATAGCCCTTTGTCTCTCATTCTTTAATCTGCCATTTTTAAATTAAATAGAGTTAAAAAATAACAATGTACTTGTTTTTGGAATATCACTTGCCTGGATAGTTAGGTTACATATTTTGAATAAATTTCAAGCTTTAGAAAATTCTCAGGACCTAAAAGAGACCACATTTATATGGCATATTAATACAGTAACCATATAGTTCTTAACTGATAAACTTTTGAGAGTTAAAGAGGGTGTTAATCAGACAGGATGTGGAAGCAATAGGCGTAAACTCGGACTGTCAATCTACATGGAAATGAAAATAAAACAGCAAGAACATATTTAGACAGACTCCTTATGGTACATGTTCATCATCTTACTTTGGGACCTGGACCCCTTCAAGTATTTGAGGAAAGCTATGGACATTCTTCTCAGAAGACTGCAGGCAGGCTTATACAGACAACATTTTAGAGTAGAGATAGACAAACTAAAGCACATAGGCCAAATCCAGTTCACTGCTCGTTTTGGTAAATGTTATTTTATTGGGACATAGCAACACCATTGGTTTATGAATTGTTTATGGTTCGCTTGCACTACAGTGGCAGAGTTGGGTAGTTGCAACAGAGACTCTATAGGTGGCAAAGCTGAAAATATGTACTATCTGGCCCTATACAGAAAATGTTTGCTGACTCTTACTTTAGAGAATTATTTTAGTTATTTATAACAAATACTGGACTAACACTAAAAATGTGAAGCCTAATTAATTAAATGGAAAGTCATAAAGTAAGGTTAAAAAAACAATTTCCCAAGTACAAAAATGAGAAGACATCCTAAAAACCTGTGGAGTTCAGTTGACAACAAGATCTGTATGAGCCAAACAGCATGTTACCTTCATCTACACAAATAACATCTTAATGCTTTTTTTAAAAATGTACTACAACATTATAGATTTGATCTGAGTTTGGATCTGACTTCAGATCAAATCTACAATGTCATTGTACATTTTTAAAATAGCATTAATAAACAGAGGCAACCAGAGATATGTAGCTGGGTAGGTAAAATATCTGTTCCTATATTGCATGAGGAACTGTGGAAATCGTCTTCAAATATTTGAGAGGGCCAGCATGTGCAGAAAAGACTAGAATGGAAAGGTGAACTAAACTAGATGAAGAAAAGCATGTGCCACCAATTTTTCAGCCTGACTTCTGACTCAAAAGTTGTGTGATCCTACATATTAAGTAAATAGATAATGGGACTGACATCATGTTTCCTCTTGGAGTTTAGGATATCCACTAACTACAAGCTATCTTTGTAAATACCCTAAAGCTATACACTCTTAGTTCTGTGACATGTACAATTATTTTCCGTTAAAACAGTGCAAGTTAGCGAAGAGGAGAAGAAAAGAAAAGAGAGAGAGAAACAGTTTTATTTTAAGTGTATTAGAAAGAAAGGGGCCTTAGATTAAGTCTTTCTCACTACAGATTTCTTGGCAGCAAATAAAAAATTGGTGGAACATGTTTTTCATCATTATAAGCCCATATTTCATCCAGTTACCTAGATAGAACATTCCCCACTGTTTTTCATGTGAGAGATATAATAATGAGTGCAGATTAGTTACAGTATATGATATTTCAACATAGTCACCAGTAACACAGGGGCTGCTAAGTGACTAATGATAAAAATTCTGGCAATGTTATTTAGGAATTTATAGACAAAAATCATAATCTTAAAAGAAGATATCTATATTATTTATTTTTAAAAAGCTTTCAGTAACTTGAAAAGTCAAGGTTCATAATACCCTTAGATTCAAACATCATAGCAGAATCCCTATAGTCATCCCTTGATATCCATGGAGAACTAGTTTTGGGACCTTCTTCAGATACCAAAATTTGTGGATGCTCAAGTCCCTGATAAAATGGTGTAGTTTTTGCATATAATCTGTGCATATCCTCCCAAATACTTTAAATAAACTCTAGATTACTTACAATACCTAATACAATGTAAATGCTACGTAAATAGTTGTTATACTGTATTTTTAGAAAATAATAAGGACAAAAAGTATGTGCAGTACAGATATAACTTTTTGAGAATATTTTTGATCAGTGTGGTTGGTTGGATCCACAAATGTGGAACCCATAGATATGGAAGGCTGACTGCATTTCATATAGTCCCAAATGTATGTATGAGTAACAGTTCAATTTTGAGCCATCTGTATGTGGATGACGTCTATAATGTGCTCATATATGTCCTATTGCTTGAAAATGATTCTATTTGGAATCAAACATTGCTGGAACCTCAGAATTAAATGCTCTAGCCAGCATGAAGACAATGTTCCCTGCTACCATTTTCTTTGAAGGTGTATGGCCTGGCCCAGCTCTGCCATTTTATATCATCAGGTTTGTCATGCATTCACTATTAAACAAGAGAGTTTACTAGTCTCAATTCCTGCCTAGTAAAAGAAAAATCAAACATTAAACATTAAAAAAATTTACACTTAATTGACTAAAAAATAAAATAACTCCTTTTAAATAAAACTACTAAATCTGCAAAGTCAAATAACTGAGTTTATATATTATTTTAATAATATATAAGACTATTATATATACTTTATTATATATTATATATGTATTATATATTATATATTTATTTATACATAAAACACTTGCTTTAAAATGTGTGCAAGATTTAAATAAAGTTGTTATGGTAAAATGTGCGGACACAAAAATGACTGTCATGAAGAAAGAAATTTTTATACTGACAGATTTCTCAGAACAAGAGACATACCAAGCCACACTGAGGGAAAGCATCAGTGTAGTCAAGAGGCAGAGGAAGCAAGAGGTAAATGTGGCCAAGAGTCCTTCTTGTGATTCCTATGTGAAGAACCAGGCAAGGCAGGGTAAGCAGGTTAGGATTGGCTAGTTTGAATAATTTCAGAAGGCTCTGGGGCATAGGGGCTGTCTGTCTGGTATCTGGCCTTGAGGTGATTAGGACAAGTAATAGAGACCCAGAGTGTGAGATCACTGTGAAAGCTCAGATAAAAATGATGGCTGGTGTATAGGCTCTAGATTGATTGGTTTGCATATGAAAGGCACACTCACAGGCAAGTTATTTACTATCTCTAGGATTTGGCTAACCCTGAGAGGTGCAGTCTTTCCTGAATCAACAAGCCTCCAGATGTCAAAGCATCAGAAACACATGGTTAATACACATTCTTGTAATTAAACAAGTTGAATTTACTTCTCATTGCAACAAAGGATATCACATACCATAGAGAAAAATGGGATGTCTCAGTAAGAGGGTATTAGAATATATTACAGGATTTGGGTTTTGGTTGGGTGATTTGGGAAAGTGTCTAAGGAAGTGGGGGTTTGCTTTATATTAGATGTCAGCAGAAAGCAGGACAGAGGGAATTATATGACGGGTTATCCCAGTAAATCTTACCTATAGGCAGGAGAGGGACCTATACAAATACATAAAGCTGTAGTAAAAGAGTATCAGTCATCAATTTTTCTGAGAGAGAGCGTGCTTGGTATTTTGTGAGAGGTACAGTGAATTTTACTTTGTCTGGGCTTAGACTAAATTTTGAAGTGGGCTTGCTTTGTTTTATTTAACTGTGTCTGAATTTGGAATTCTGTTAAAATTGTTTATGTCTAATAGAAGATATTGCAGAAAAGTATATACAGTGTGTGATGGGATTATAGATTATTTCTGTTTATTCATCATACCTTAATACCTGTCTTAATTTTATTTCAATCCCTAAGAGTGAGCATGAATTACTTTTATAGTCAGAATGATTATTTTAAATAACAAAATAAATGTAAAATTGAAGCAATTGTGAACACAGGGTGGTACTATGTAATAAGACTTTCTAGATAATTTTTCAATATGTTAATACTTCATTTGGTATCTTGTATGGCAAGCTTGGGTTAGGCAGAATGAAGTCAGAGCAAATATAGGCCATGTTTCACAAAATTATCTTTTGGAGCAAACACAGCATAATTGCTTATAAAGAAAATCACCTTGTAATAAGAGTCTTTTTTTTCCTAATGAAAGAAGATATATATATATATATATATGTGTGTGTGTGTGTGTATGTATATATGTGTATATATGTATATATGTGTATGTGTATATATGTATGTATATATACATATATAGTCTATGTATATATGTGTGTGATTTTTATATATACATACATTAACTCTTATAAGATATTAAGATGTAATTATAAGATATTACATCTTATTATAAGATACAATAAGATTTATTTTTTCTAATGTAAAATATATGTATTTATGTATAAAATAATATATGTATTATGTATAAAATACTAATACATATATGTGTAAAATATGTATATATGTATTTTATACATGTATATGTATATAAAATACATAGATGTATATACATATGTATAAAACACATACATGTATATACATATACGTATAAAAACATATATACATATATACATATACGTATAAAAACATATATACATATATACATATACGTATAAAAACATATATACATATATACATATATTTTTACATGTGTTTATATATGTACATAAAATACATTTTATATAAATGTATAAATCCTCACAACTACAGGAAATGAGTTCTTATTATCCCCTTAATGCAGATGAAGAAACTTAAGTCTACAAAATTTAGGTAATTTGCCCTAATCAAACAGCTAGTAAATGCTAGAGTTAGAATTCAAACTTGGATTCTGTGTGGCTCCAAAGACAATGCTTTTTCCACGATATAATTTCATACAAATGTAAGAACCTGTTTCTGCAAAGTATGATTTTATTTTTCAAACCATTTTTATATAAGTGATGTTATCCAAACTACTCCTTCAATATTCCCAACAATTGTTTCCTAAAAATAAGCATGGGAGGCATTATCCTCAATTGACAGATTAGGAATTTATGACCCAGGAAAGTACCCACCCAAGGTCTCACAGAAAAACAGTTGATAGGGCCAAGACTCTATAGGTGTGTTTTGTGCTTTAGGCATTTAAACCATGCTGCCTAACAAAGAAAGATGATCAATAAAATAAAATAAGGCAAATTGTATGAAATGGCAAAAAGGAAAAACAATTTTAGAGATAGAAATAGTATGCATGAAATCATTGAAAGAAATCAAGGACAGTAATTTTTGACGTTTTAACATTGGATGAAATATTTTCAAAGAAAAAATATATTCGTCAAATTTTTAAAAAGCATCAGGTACTGAAAAACACTAAACTTCAATACACTTTCACATTGTGAAAAAAGATGGAGAAAGAAGGAAATGGGCTAGAAACAAGGGAGAGAAGAAAGAAATAACAAACACACAAAGTAAGGAGAAAAGAAAAGGGAGCAATATTTGCCCATCGAGGAAAATGAAAACAAGGACCATTTGGTTGAAGTTACTGGGTGAAGAGTGCCTTTTGTTCAAGAAAGAATGATTTAATTAATATTTCAATAACAAAAATTGTCCAACAGTAAACTCCTAATTGCTTAATTCAATGACCTCTTCTGAGTATTCATCAAGCTAAATTTCTCTTCAGCTCTTTTCAATATCTTTGCGATTAACTCTCTTTCCCTTAATTTCCTGTGATAAGGGACTTTTCTGGGTCTTCTTTGGTGGATCAGAGATCTAGCTTCAGCTTTGGCAATAACTTATGCTGTAAACTTGGGCAAACCATTTATCTCTGGATTGAACATCTTCAAAATTAGAATGTTAAAAGTGTATGATTTCTAAAGTTCTTTTCACTTCTACAGACCACGTTTCTATAATCATCTCCTTTAATGGTAATTTTCCCCAACCTTAAATAGGCATTTCCTACTAGGCTTTCATATTGTACACTGCAAACTCTCATATAGTCATGAGGAATGGGTTTCAAATCTCTTTCACCTTAACTTTTCTCTCAAGTACCAGACCACTTTATGCAAAACTTTCCACCTGATTTCCCACAAACACTTCAACAAACTCATCTTCTCTGCCAAATTACTGTTTCTCCTGTATCCCCTTATGTCTCTCCTTCAAGCTGCTTAAAATCAGTATCTCAGAGGCATCTTTCACTCTTCCTTGAACATCCAGTCAGTTAGCAATCTTATAAGATCTAACTATGAAAGTCTCTTGTTTTCAATCCATTATCTTTTTGTCTGTTCCCTGGTTTAGTTATTCCTGCTTCCTAGAGTTCAAAACTACTCTAACAGTTTTCTAATTTGCACTTTCACCCCGGTCACTAGAATTTTCTTCCAAGTCATGCCTCGTTGCTGCAACAGCTAACTCATAATGATGTTCAATGAATTATCACACATAACATACTTAGAATGGTGCCTGTAATATAGTAAGTGTTATAAAAGTACTGGCTATTATTATTATGATCCCCAGTCACAAAAAGCTTTGAAAACTTCTCCTGACATGTAGAGAAAAATCTATGTTTCTTAGATTAGTATTTAAGGACCATTACCATTTAATATCAACCTACCTTTCTAGTTGTTTTTACCACTATATTTCACTTGACTGGCTAAATGTTCAATTGCCTGATTTTCACAAATATCACTTTTAAGGAAAATTTCAAGCCTATAACCACTTCACCATTTTGTGCCAAGTGATTCCACTTGCCTCCACCTTTCCCCACTCTGCCATAGCTATGTGTGTAAGATTAGGCATCATATGTTGAGATCCGTTCTGGCCATCAATACAAGGCATATGATTAGTCAGGCTTATGGCTTAGATAAACTTAACCAAAACCTGATTTCCCAGTTAGCAGTAAGAAGAGGAAAAGCCATAATGAATAAGGAAACAGCAGTGATCATGATGAGCCATGAGCAAAATGAAGTTAAGTGTGGGCAGAAACTAAGTGAAAGCAGAATTAGTTGATTGAGCTCTGCACAGTGGCTTACGCCTGTAATTTTAGCACTTTGGGAAGCCAGGGTGGGAGAATCACTTGAGCTCAGGAGTTTGAGGCCACAGTGAGCTATGATCGTGCCACTGCACTTCAGCCTGGGTGACAGAGTGAGATACTGCCTTAAAAAAAAAAGAAAGAATTAGTCGATTGGGATGGAAAACAAAGAAGAAATCAGTTATGCTGAGAGAAAACATCCCATAAGACACCAGGACAAACTGGCTCCTTAGAGAATTTGAAAAAAGTAGCTAGATCCTTTGAGCTGTTTCTATTCCAATGACGTCTGTATTTCCGTCTGGATGCAAACACCACTCCCTTATTTTTGAGATAATTTAAACAAGTCTCTTTTTCTTGTAGCAAACAAACACCCTCACACTTTAATCTCATTTCTTTCAGAAAGCTCACAAAGATTTCCTGGGTTAGATTTGAATCTCTTTTTCTACAATGGTTCCACAGGTACTTTGTGTTTAAAATATCATTAATTATACTCACCTTTGCATGAAAGTGGCATATGTGCAAGTCTCCCTGATTAGATTGGGATAAGCTTTTACTAATGTGGTGCTCTTCCAAGAGCTGATGCTCAGTAAATAACAGTTGGCTCTCTGTCTCCCTGGGTTCAGCATGTGTAGGTTCAACCAATCACTGATCAAAAGTGTTTTGAAAAATTATGTGCGTCTGTACACAGCAGGTAAAGCCCTTTTTTTCCTGTCATTATTCTCTGAACAATACAGTGTAACAACTATTAACATAGCCTTTACATTGTATTAGGTATTATAAGTAAGCTAGAGATGATATAAAGTATACGAGAAAATGCACATAGGTTATATACAAATAGTACACAACATTTTATATTAAGGACTTGAGCATCCAAAAATTTTGATGTCCAAGGGAGGTCCTGGAACCAATCAGCCACTGATAATGAGGGACAATTGTACTTAACTGACTAGAAGGCTGCAGTGGACTGAGTTAGTGAATTACCAGTCACTGAGGTGTTTAAGCACAAACCAGAAAGCTTCCTTTAGAGTCGGTAGAGGGTATGCCTGCACTGAGAGAGTAGACATTGAAGCATACAACTCTTTTTCTACCTAAAGATATTAAGATACGTCCACTGAATTAGATTTGTCACTGTAAGAGCAATTATAACAATTCTTTATGAGGGAGCAAGGACCAGATTACTATACTAAAAATCAGAATAATGCATCAGTTTAAGTTTGCACTGGAATAATCAGAGGTAAAAATCATTGGGCCATAGATTCCTGTCAAGGAACAACATCCAGTAGTAAAAGAATAATAGCCATGGGTCATTTACGTGTGAAGGGAGAGAGATAGTTTGGGAAAAATATTAAAATTAGAGATTTTCCAAATAATTATGCAATATTCTGCATTGTATAATTAAAATATTGTCTGCAGGGATGGGAGGAGTCATTAAGCATTGTATTAACTATTATTAAACAAAAAGCTAGCTTCCTATAAGTAATAACCTTCTTTGATTAAAAAAGTCTAAAGCCTAATGCTTTTTGAATGCAAATAAAATCACCTTCTTTTGTAAATCGTCAAGAAAATAGCTCATAGCTTTCGTGTTAATTGTTTCCATTGCATTCAAAACATGTAAAAGCTGTTTTTACTTTTTCTTCATTTCCCCAAATAGAATACCAGTGTTGTGTCATCTATGGTGCTGAATTTTTTTTATGATCTGTGAAAACCATTGCTATAGGATACTATCGAATTTTTGCAAGATGTTAAAAAGGGGGTTAGATGTATACAAATTAGGTTCTGTAGGCACACTAGCCAGGATAAAATCACAAGGACTATTAATTCTTATGCTTTAGGGCATACACTGATCACCAGCTGCGGTCAGGAAGACATTTTCTTCTTTAATATAGTATTTCACAATTAGGTTCATTGGGTGTGGGGTGAGGTATGATTTTCAGTGAAGCTTCCAATTTTAGCCACTGTTGGACACAATGCCAGATTTGGTGTCTCATTGGTTGGATCTGTTATGGTTTTAATGCTAATTAGACTATGCACTGTGGTATTTTCAAGGATGTAGAGGTTAAAACTGACAACGAAATGACCATGCTTTAGTAATAAATCATTGTCTTTGCAGTACATAATTACAGAAAGAGTCCATAACCATATGTGGTTAATATTAAAATGTCTGTGACTAGTTGATGTTATTTTTCCCCAGTTCCTTAATGAGACTGCTATACATAAACTGCCACAGCAAAAATTTAAAAAATAAAAAGTGAAAGCCGCTTAAAAGCATTTGTAGCTGTGAATTGCTATCATCAAATATCTCTAAATTTAAGACTTCAAGGTTATTTTGTTTACAATATAGCTCCTAAACTATGTAGAGTCTAGAAATCTCAGGGTATATGAATCCTTATTTACAATTAATCCTTATTTACAATCTACTGGGTATATGAATCCTTATTTATTACAATTATTAAAAAATAATTTTGAATAAAATCAGTAAAACTGATAATCCACATCATTTTATTCTTCTGCAACTATTTTGCCTTATTCAAACAGAATTATTTTCAAACTTCATTTTCGTACCTATTTCCATCACTGTGATGGAAAAAGCACTGAATTTGGAGACAATTTGGTCAGGTCTTGTCCCAATCTCACTGCCAATAAATTTAGGCAAGTTATTAACCTAACTGGGACTTAATTCCTAATTCGTAAAGTGAAGTAATTGGTCTAATATTATATGAATGAGATTCAGCTCACTACCTCAAGTACCATTTGTGTTTTGGTGGTGTGAATTAGTTACCAGATAGATATCCTACTACCAACGTGGATTTGGTACTCATCAGCATGTACTAGTTTTCAAATAATAGTTTATATCAGAATCTTCTGTTACATTTGTTTAATTTGGAGATTTATGGGCCAAACTCCAGACATGTTGATTTCTTAAGGCTGAGTTGGGACCAGGGAACTGCATTCTAAACAGAGATACCAACTAATTCTAGGCTTTAAAAATCTCTCCAGATATATTCTAAAATTATAGCTTATGCTTTTGATTGTGTTGGTTAAGATAAACTAAGTTAATCCCTATCAATAGCTGCTAACTTATTAAGTGCTACTGTGGCCAAAAGCTAGTTATTCAATGATAACCAATTCACAAAATTTCTTAAAGGTAAACTTTGTACACAGCTCATACTAGGACATTTGAAAGACAAAAAAAAAAAAAAAATCCCCTGGCATGCTCACTTTTGCCTCCAAAGAAATTCCCAAGTTAATGATAAGACTCGTAAACTATTAAATCACTAGTCCCCACAATTGTTCTTACAGCTAATATCTAGATGTTCAGATCAAGTTTATAATAGACTCCTCCTTGTTCTGCGTGACAGTGCTAAAGTATAAAGAGAGAAATATTATAATAATGCCAAATCAGAATAGCCCAAACTTAAAAGAAAATTTCACATTGTATTTCAAAAAAGGTATACATTTCTTAGGAGACCAAATTTTGTGCTAATTCACTTGCTCTACCATCCTGAGCAAAGCTATCTAGCCTTTACCGATTATTGGCAACTTTTTATGGGGTTTTGTTGTGAAAGGGATCTGCCTACATGTCTTGCTGATGAATACTTAATATTCAGTTGTATTCTCTCTAAACCAAAATGCATTTTTTTTTACCCCAGTCTACCTCTGAAATTACTCTTCCCACCACTAGTGATATGTACAAATTTGCTGCATGACTCTCTGTGAGCACTACTGGCTCTTTTCTTTGATTGATACATTGTTAGTGACCCCCCCCCCTGCCCCCGAAACCTTCTCCTTCTAGGCCTTTCAAGCCATTAGAAATAGCCACTTGACGCTCCAGTAAAACAACTCATTTCTATTTGCACACAATGTCATCTGACAACTAGGCAAGAAAGTTGGATATGACTTCTTCTGACACAATTTTAAGATGACTACAAATAACTTTATTTTTTGAATACCATGGTTTAAACTCATTTTCTGAAAAATAAAGTAGCTTCCACTCTGATATGTTTATTTTTTGAAGACAGCTGATCAGTCTCTTTCTATACTGTATGTTCCACATTAAGTCATTATTTATGCTGTTGACTCCACTAATTCTGTTACTTTTATTAGCAAAGTTTTGGTGTTGAGTCCTGTAGTAGTGACAAGCATTCCTAGAAGCTAATCTGACAGATAATGACTCCATTAAGTGTCGGATGCTAATTGGTTTACAGCAGAGGCCTGCAATTAATTTATATAAATAAATTAGCACCTGAGCATGTTATCATCCCAGTTTGGATTTTCAAATTACCAGTGATTTTTAAAGCCTCCATTTTCAGTAAAATGTAATGCATAGAAACTTCATGAATAATTAAAATTTGGCAATAGGTCAGAATACCAAACAAGAAATACAAATTATTTACACCCATTTCTAGGCAAGGCGGTGACTGTGTATGAATTATGTCCTCATAATAAATGACTTATAGAATAGTTAGATTTAAACTACCCTCCAAAGAGTATACTTCTTCATTGCAATTGTTCCTGGAATTACTAGCCACAACCAATATCAGTGAGGTATTGTTTCCAGGACCCCCTGTGGACACTGAAACCCATGGCTGGTCAACTTCCTTATATAAAACGTGTGTATTATTTGCATATAACCTACCCACATCCTCCATCTTTAAATTACATGTAATACCTAATACAATGCAAATGCTATGCAAATAGTGTTTTACTGTATTTTAAAATTTGCATTATTTTTATTGTTGTATATCGTTTTTTTTTTTTTTTTTTCACCTGTCACCCAGGCTGGAGTGCAGTGGCACAATCTCAGCTCACTGCAACCTCCACCTCCTGGGTTCAAGCTGTTCTCCTGCCTCAGCCTCCCAAGTACCTGGGATTACAGGCGTGCACCACCATACCCAGCTAATTTTTGTGTTTTTAGTAGAGATGGAGTTTCACCATGTTGTCCAAGCTGGTCTTAAACTCCTGACCTCAGATGATCCCCCTGCCTCAGCCTCCAAAAGTGCTGGGATTACAGGCATTAGCCACCACACCCGGCCTCATATTGTATATTTTCAATGCAAATTTGGTTGAATCTTCAGATTCAGAACCTGTGGATCACCAGTCAGAATGACTATTATTAAAAAGTTAAAAAAAAGACATTGATGAAGTAGTAGAAAAAATGGAATGCTTATACACTGTTTGTGGAAGTGTAAATTAGTTCAGCCACTGTGGAAAGCAATTTGGAGACTTCTTAAATAACTTAAAACAGAACTACCATCCTGCTCAACAATTCCACTACTGGGTATATACCAAAAAGAAAATAAATAATTCTACCAAAAAGACACATGCACTTTTATGTTCATCAGAGCACTATTCACAAGAGCAAAGGCACAGAATCAACCAAGATGCCCTTCACTGGTGGACTGGATAAAGAAAATGCAGTATATGCACACCATGGAATACTATGCAGCCATTAAAAAAAATGAGATCATGTCCTTCGCAGCAACATTGATGGAGCTGGAAGCCATTATCCTAAGTGCATTAATGCAGGGACAGAAAACTAAACACTGCATGTTTTCACTTATAAGTGGTAGCTAAAGATTGGGTATACGTGGACGCAAAGTTGGGAACAATAAACACTGGGGACTGCTAAAGGGGGGCAGGTGAGGAAGAGGGCAAGGACTAAAAAACTGCCTATTGGGTACTATGCTCACTACCTAGGTGACAGGATCATACCACAAACCTCACTGACACACAATTTGCCCATGTAACAAACCTGCACTTATACCCCCTGAACATAAAAATAGAAAAAAACAAAAATAATAAAAGCATATGTACACACACATACACACAAACACACACAAAACAGAACATCTGGATACAATGAGCTGACCGTATATCACAGTTTGAATAATCATTTCTCTTCTTATTCTGTATTTCACTTATCTCTAATATTTTTCTATTTCAAATAAGACTGTAAATAATATCTATAGCTTCATCACATATGTTCTTAGGATATATTTCCAGATGTGGAATTACTGCTCAAAGAGTGTGTTCTTGTTATATATTGCCAACTTGTTCTCCAAAACGGTTATTAAAGATTTCCACACAGAGGTGGTAGAATGAAATGAAACAACAAAATCTCCTTTCCAATATCTACCAAACCAGTAAAAATATGAAAAACAAAAGAAAATGACATAAATAACTTTTTAAAATTACTAATAACAAAGTTGTATTTTTATGCCATAAATTTGAAAGCTTATGACAGTAGAAAGAAACTGAGTCCTGATTCACTCCCAAGTGTAACTTTATAAAAGTTAGGTGAAATTCACGTAATATACAATTAAACACTTTAAAGTGAATAATTCAGTGCATTTAGTATATTCACAATGTTGTGAAATCACCAACTCTTTGTGATTTCAAAATGTTTTCATTATTCCAGAACACTCAGCATTTATAAGTAATCATTCCCCATTTCTTATTTCCCCTATGCCCTAGCAACAATTAATCTGCTTTTCTGTCTCTATGGATTTTTCTATTTTGAGTATTTTATAGAAAATAATCATACAATATGCGATTTTTTGTGTCTGGCATATTTCATTTGGCATAATGTTTCTGAAGTTCACCCAAATTGTGGCTTATACCAGTACTCCATCATTTTGCATGACCGAATAATATTTCATTGTATGTATATACCAAAATGAATTTGTTCATTCATCCATTGATGAATATTTTGGTTATTTATATCTTTGGCCATAATTAATAAACATTTATATGTAAGTTTCTGTATTAACACATGTTTTTATTTCTCTTGGACCACCTAGGAGTTGAATTCCTGGGTTATATGGCAATTCTGTTTAACTTTTTGAGGCATAACTAAACTGTAATCAGCAGCAGCTGTATCCTTTTACATTCTCACCAGTAATATAGGAGGGTTTTTTTTTTACCACATCCTTACATGTTAATTTATTTTTTCTCTCATTACAGCCATCCTAATGGCAGCAAAGTATTATTTCATTTTGGTTTTGATTTGAATCTCTTTAATGACCACTGATGTGAACATCTATACATGTGCTTGTTGACCATTTTAATATTATATTTAAAGAAATGTCTATGCAGATGCTTTGACAATTTCTAATTGTGTTATTTGTCTTTTTATGTTGAGTTGTAAGTATGCTTCATATATTATGAATACCAATCTTTAAAAGATATATCATTTGCAAATATTTTCTCCCATTCTGTAGATTTTTTTACTTTCTTGATAATATGCTTTGATGCACAGAAGATTTTAATTTGTATGAAGTCCAATTTGTCTTTTATTTCCTTTTGTTTTCTGTGTTTTGGGTCTGGAATCTAAGAATCCATTGCCAAATCCAAAGTCATAATGATTTTCTTCCTTTCAACTTTTAAGTTGAAGAAAAACATGTGCAGGATGTGCAGGTTCATTATATAGGTAAATATGTGCCACAGTGATTTGCTGCACAGATCAACCCATTGCCTAGATATTAAGGCCAGCACTGATTAGCTATTCTTCCTGATGCTCTCCCTCCTCCCAACACCATGACAGGCCCCAATGTGTGTTGTTTCCCCCCATGTGTCTATGTGTTCTCATCATGCAGCTCCCACTTATAAGTGAGAACATGCGGTGTTTGGTTTTCATTCCCGGCATTTGTTTGCTGAGGATAATGGTTTCCAATTCCTTCCACGGCCCTGCAAAGGACATGATCTCATTCCTTTTTATGGCTGCATAGTATTCCATGGTGTTTATGTTCCACATTTTTAAAATTTGATCTATCATTGTTGGGCATTTGGGTTAAGCCCATGTCTTTGTTATTGTGAATAGTGCTACAGTGAACATACACATGCATGTATCTTTATAATAGAATAACTTATATTCCTTTGGATATATACCCAGTAATGGGATTGCTGGGTCAAATGGTATTTCTGCCTCTAGGTCTTTGAGGAATCACCACATTGTCTTCCAAAATGATTGAATTAATTGACACCCCCAGCAACACTGTAAAAGCGTTCTTTTTTCTCTGCAACCTCTCCAGCATCTGCTGGTTTTTGACTTTTTAGTAATTGCTATTCTGACTGGTGTGAGATGGTATCTCATTGTGGTTTTGACTTGCATTTCTCTAATGCTCAGTGATGTTGAGCTTGTTTTCTATGTTTACTATGCACATGCATGTCTTCTTTTTAGAAGTGTCTGTTCATGTCCTTTGGCCAGTTTTTAATGGAGTTGCTTGTTTTTTCTTGCAGATTTGTTTAAGTTCCTTGTAGATTCTGGATATTAGACCTTTGTCAGATGGATATATTGAAAAAAATTTCTCTCAGTCTGTAGGTTGTCTGTTCACTCCAATGATAGTTTCTTTGCTGTGCAGAAGCTCTTTAGCTTAATTAAATCCCATTTGTCAATTTTGGCTTTTGTTGCAATTGCTTTTGGTGTTTTTGTCATGAAGTCTTTGCCCCTGGCTATGTCCTGAATGGTATTGCCTAGATTTTCTTCTAAGGTTTTTATAGTTTTGGGTTTTACATTTAAGACTTTAATCCACCTTGATGTAATTTGTGTGTAAGGAGTAAAGAAGGGGTCCAGTTTCAATTTTCTGCTTATGGCTATCCAGTTCTCCCAGAACCATTTATTAAATAGGGAATCCTTTCCCCATTACTTGTTTTTGTCAGGTGTGTTGAAGATCAGATGGTTGTAGGTGTGTGGTCTTATTTCTGAGTTTTGTATTCTGTTCCATTGGTGTATATGCCTGTTCTTGTATCAGTACCATACTGTTTTGATTACTGTAACCTCATAGTATAGTTGGAAGTCAGGTAACATGATGACTCCAGCTTTGTTCTTTCTTGCTTAGGATTGCCTTGGCTATTTGGGCTCTTTTTTGGTTCCATATACATTTTTTTTTTTTTTTGATACGGAGTCTCACTCTGTCGCCCAGGCTGGAGTGTAGTGGTGCGATCTTGGCTCACTGCAAGCTCCACCTTCTGGGTTCAAGCCATTCTCCTGCCTCAGCCTCCTGAGTAGCTGGGACTTCAGGTGCCTGCCACCATGTCTGGCTAATTTTTTTTTTGTATTTTTAGTAGAGATGGGGTTTCACTGTGTTAGCCGGGATGGTCTTGATCTCCTGACCTCGTGATCCACCTGCCTCGGCCTCCCAAGGTGCTGGGATTACAAGCATGAGCCATCGCGCCTGGCCTTTTGGTTCCATATAAATTTTAAAAGGGTTTTTTTTCAAAATCTGTGAAGAATGTCAATGGTAGGTTAACAGGAATAGCATTGAATCTACAAATTACCAAAGTCATAATAATTTATCCTTACTTTTTCCTAATAGTTTTGTAGTTTAACCCTTATACTTAGGTTGTTGCTTTACTTTCAGTTAACCTTTGTGTATAGAGTGAGGTGAGGAACTAACTTTATTATGTATGCAATTATCCAGTTTTTCTAGCATGATAAGGTAAAAAATTATACTTTCGCCATTGAATTGTGTGTGTGAATCCTTTTTAACATTCAATTGGCCATAAGAACAGTTTACTCAACAAATGGTGATAGGAAAACAGGATATCCACATGCAAAATAATGAAGTTGAACCCTTAACTTACAGCATACACAAAAATTAACTCAAAATGTATTTAAGGCCTAAATATAAGCCCTAAATATATTAAAATTTCAAAAGAAAGCATAGGGAAAAGCTTCATGACATTAGATTTAATGATGATTTTTTGATTATAGTACCAAAAGCACCAGCAACAAAATAAAAAACAAATGAAACTTTCTCAAATTTTAAAACTTCTTCATGCTTAAGAAAACAATTAACAGAGCAAAAAGAAAAACTACAGAATGGGAGAAAGTAACTGCAAATCATATATTTAATAAGATACTAATATCCAAACATGTTAGAAATTTTTACAACTCTGCAACAACAAAAATAATCTAATTAAAAATGGACAAAAGACATGGATAGACATTTCTCCAAAGAAGATCTACAAATGGCAAACATCATTCTACTTTCTCTCAGTATACTGGGGAGGGAGAGATAAAGATGGGTTCATAGATGGGCACAAAAATACAGTTAAATAGAAGGAATAAAATCTAAGGTGACTATAGTTAAAAATAATTTATTATATATTGCAAAATAACTAGAAGAGTAAAATTTATTTTATTTATTTATTTATGTAAGATGAAGTCTCGTTGTGTCACCCAGGCTGGAGGCAAATGGCACGATTCCGGCTCACTGCAACCACCGCCTCCTAGGTTCAAGTGATTCTCCTGCTTCAGCCTCCCGAATGGCTTGGATTACAGGTATGTGCTACTACGCCCAGCTAATTATTTGTATTTTTACTAGAGATGGGGTTTCACCATGTTGACCAGGCTAGTCTCGAGCTCCTGACCTCAAGTGATCCACCAACCTTGGCTTCCCAAATTGCTGGGATTACAGGCGTGAGCCACCACGCCCAGCCAAAGAGTGAAATTTAAATGTTCCTAATACAAGGAAATAAGAAATATCTAAGGCAATAGATATTCAAATTACCCTGATCTCATCATTACACATTGTATGCTTATATTAAAACATTATATTTATCCCATAAGTATGTACAACCATTATGTATATATAAAAATTAGGAGTAAAAAATGAAAAAAAAATTGGAGAAGCTATATAAATAGCAGACAAAGTAGGATTCAGAACTTGAAATTTCCCAGAAATAGAGGGTAACTTACATAATGAAAAAGTTTAATTCACCAAGATATCTTTCTGAAATGCATTTCAAAATGTACGAAGTAAAAAGTAATATAACTGAAATGAAAATTAGCCAAATCCACACTTACAATGAAAGACTTCAAACCCCTTCTCTAAGGAATTGATTGAACAAGTACACAGAAAAATCACTAAATATATGAAAAACCCAACAAATTATTATATAAATAAGTTGACCTAATTGACTCTACAGAACACTCCATTCACAAAACCAGAAAACATGTTCTTTTCATGTGTATATGAAACATGTAACAAGATAGACTATATTGTTTGTCATAAAACAAGCCTCAAAACATAAGAGAATGAAAATCCTAAACACCATGTTATCTGACTACAATGAAATTAGACTAAAATCAGTAACAGAAAATAAAAAAAACAGAAAATCCTCAAATATTTGGAAATTAAATGACAGTTTTTTTAAGTTAATTTTTTTAAACGTTTTCTTTAGGTTTGGGGGTACATGCACAGGTTTGTTATATAAGTAAATTGCATTTCACAGGGGTTTGACATACAGATTATTTTGTCATTCACATACTAAACGTAGTGCCCAACTGGTATTTTTGATCCTTACCCTACTCCCTCCCTCCACCCTCAAGTAGGCCCCAGTGTCTGTTGTTTCCTTCTTTGTGTCCATGTGTACTTGGTGTTTAGCTCCCATTTATAAGTGAGAAAGTGCGGTATTTGGTTTTCTGTTCCTGTGTTAGATCGCTTAGGATAATGGCCTGTAACCGCATTGATGTTGCTGCAAAAGAGAGAATCTTGTTCTTTTTTACGGCTGCAGAGTAGTCCATGGTGCATGCATATCCCATTTTCTTTATCCGGTCCACCATTCATTGGCATTTAGATCATTTCCATGTCTTTGCTATTGTCAGTAGTGCTGCAATGAACATCTTTGTGCATGTGTTTTTATGGTATAATGATTTATATTCCTTTGGATATACATCCAATAATGGGATTGCTGGGTCAAATGGTTGCTCTCTTCTTTAATAAGTTCTTTGAGAAATTGCCAAACTGTTTCCCACAGTGGCTGAATTAATTTACATCCCCCCACCAAGTGTGTATAAGCATTCCCTTTTCTCCACAACTTCTCCAGTGTCTATTTTTTTTTTACTTTTTAATAACAGCCATACTGACTGATGTGAGATGGTATATCATTGTGATTTTGATTTGCATTTCTTTGATAATTAGTGATGTTGAACATTTTTTAATGTGCTTTTTGGTCACATATATGTCTTTTTTGGGAAAATATTCATACCTTTTGCCCATTTTTAAATAAGATTGTTAGTTTTATGCTTATTAATTTAAGTTCCTTATAGATTCTAGATATTAGACTTTTGTTGGATGCATAGTTTGCACATAATTTCTCCCACTCTGTTTACAGTTTGTCTACAACACACTTCTAATAACTCATATATAGACAGTGGGATGCTATTCAGCAATATAAAAAAATGAATTTCCATTATTTCAGGCAACATGGATACTTTGAAGGCGATTGTGTTAAGTGAAATTAAGCCAGAAACCGAAAGTTAAACATTCATGTTCTCACTCATATGCAGAAGCTAAAAAAGTTGAACTCATAGAAGTAAAGAATAAAACAAAGGTTTCTGGAGGCTAGGAAAGGTAGAAGGGAGGGAAAGGGAGAGTTCAAGTTCTAAGTTCTAGTGTTCTCTGGCACCCTAAGATGACTATAGTTAACAATAATATATATTTTCAAATAACTAGAAGAGAGGATATCAGATGATCCCAACACAATAAAATAATACATGGAATGATGGAAACGCTAATTATTCTGATGTCGTCACTATATATTTTATGTATTTAAACATCACTATGTACCTCAAAATATGCACAATTTTATGCCAATTACAAAATAATAAAACTTTTAAAAAAGCTCATATATCAAAGAAATCACAAGAAAAGTTATGAATACTTTGAAAAAAAAAATAAAATGACCAATAAGCACAGTAAAGGATGCTTAACATTCCTAATCAGTAGAGAAATGCAGATCAAAACCACAGTGAGATATCATTTCACATCCATCAGGATGGCCATTATCAAAAAACAAAACAAAACAAGTGTTGGCAAGGATGCAGAGGAGTTGAAACCCTCCTTATAAACTGTAGGTGTAATGTAAAATATTTCAGTCATTATGGAAAACAATATAAATACTTCTCAAAATACTAAAAATAGAATTACTTTATGACAGTACCTGTCCCTACAGGTACTGCACCTGTCCCTACAAAGGACATGAACTCATCATTTTTTATGGCTGCATAGTATTCCATGGTGTATATGTGCCACATTTTCTTAATCCAGTCTATCATTGTTGGACATTTGGGTTGGTTCCAAGTCTTTGCTATTGTGAATAGTGCCGCAATAAACATACGTGTGCATGTGTCTTTATAGCAGCATGATTTATGGTCCTTTGCCTCAATATAAAAACCGAATAAAGATATTGCAAGAAAATAAAAGTGGAGACCAAATAGTTTTCAAGAATATGGGTGAAATAAATCCTTAAAAATACAAGTATAAGCAAATGTAATTCAGCAATATACACATGACACCTAGAGTCTATGCAAGAATACAAAGTTGTTACAGTATTTAAAAATTTGATACATCCATCATAGTAATCCATCATACTAGTAATTCAACATATAAATAGAGAAAAAGAAGAAAAAACACGCAATTATATCAATTCAAACACTAAAGTTTTGAAAAGATTCAACATCTCTACAGCTAACATCATAAGGGTGAGAGACTGAAAGCTTATGTTATTACATTGTACCAAAAATTTTAAAAAGTTAAGGGTGAAAAACTCTACATTAATTTACACTAAAACTCAGAAAATTAGGAATGGAAGTGAACTTCTTAATCCTGATAAAGGACATTTACATATAACCCATTGATAATATAAAAATTAACAGTAAAAGACTAAATTATTTCCTTCTATGATGAAGAACAAAATAAGAATATCCGCTCTCACCACTTCTATTTAACATTGTTCTGTATGTCCTATCCAATGCAGTTGGAAAAAAAAAGAAGGAAATGACATAGAGATTGGAAAGGAATGTTAAAATTGTTCTTATTTGAAGATAACATGATTGTCTTCGCAGATCATCACAAGGAATTGAAAAATATGCTCTTTGAACTGAAAAGTGAGGTTAGCAAAGCACAGGATAAAAAGTCAACATGTTAAAATCAATCACATTTAATAATAGCAGTGATCAATCCGAAATTAAATTTTTTAAAATAACATGTACAAGAGCTCCATAAAAATGAAATACCTAGGTGTAAATCTAATAAAACCTTAGAAGAATCTGCATACTAAAAAATAAATGCTGATAAAAGCAATCAGAGAATGCTTAAATAAACAAATAACATACTGCATTCATGGACTGAAAAACTCTATAGAGTTAAGGGATAAATTCTGCCCATATTAATTCATAGATTTAATGCAATTTCAATCAAAATCCCAGATGTTCTAATAGATTCAGACAAGTGCCTTCTAAAAATTTTATAGTAATCCCTAGGATGTAAAATAGTCAAAACATTTGAAAAATAAAAAAGTTGTAGAATTCAGACTACCTGATATATAATACTATCTTGAGAGCTACAGTAACCAAGTTATTATGGTATTGGTAAAGGTCTAGACACCTAGATCAATGGAACATAATGGAGAGTCCAGAAAGAGACCCACACAAATATGGCCAATTTATTTTTGACAGAAGTACAAAGGCAATGCAACAGAGTAAGTTTAGTCCTTTCAACAGATAGTATTGAAATACTTGGACATCTATATACTAAGTAAATAAAAGCATGAATTTATTCTAATCCAAATCATGTAAGTCACACAGAAAATTGAGGTAAAATGGATAAGATATTTAAATATAAAATGTAAAACTATAATTTTTTGGGAAAAAACATAGAAGGCAGTATTTCTATCTTTATATTGAGCAGAGGCCTTGAACGTAGAACAGAAAGCATGATCCATGATATATAAAAAAAAGTTGGGCTTTATCCAAATTTAAAATTTTTCTTTGGCAAAATAAATTTAAGGGAATTAAAACACTAGAAGAAGTCTTTAAAATAACATATATAAATAGAGGATTTTTAACCAGAATATATAAAGAACTCAAAATTTAACATAATAAAACACATAAAATGGGCAAAGTGTTTTAAAATTAATTTTTATTTTTAATTTTTGTAGATGCAATGTAGGTGTATATATTTATTGGTACATGAGATATTTTAATACAGGCATAAAATGCATAATAATCGTATCAGGGTAAATGGGGTATGCATTACCTCAAGCATTTATCCTTTCTTTGTGTTACAAATAATTCAACTATACACTTTTATTTATTTTTAAATGTACTGTAAATTAGTATTAAATATAGTCACCTTGTTGTGGTATCAAATACTAGATCTTATTTATTTCACCAAACTTTTTCTTCTGTCCATTAACCATCCCCACTTCCTCACACCCTACTACCCTTCGCAGCTTCTGATGAACATCATTCTACTCTCTATCTCCATGAGTTCAATTGTTTTGATTTTTAGATCCCACAAATAAGGGAGACCATGTGAAATTTGTCTTTCTGTGGTTGGCTTATTTCACTTAACATAATGACCTTTATTTCCATTCATGTTGTTGCAAATGACAGGATCTGATTCCTTTTCATGGCTGAATAACACTCTATTGTGTATAAATGCCACACTTTCTTTATCTATTTGTCTGTTAATGGTCAATTATGTTGCTTCCAATTTTGAGCCATTGTGAATAGTGCTGCAATAAGCATGGGAGTGCAGATATTTCTTCAATATAGTGATTTTCTTTCTTTTGGGTATATATGTAGAAGCGATATTGCTGGGTCATATGGTAGTTCTATTTTTAGTTTTTTGAGAAACCTCCAAACTGTCTGCATAGTGATTGTACTAATTTACTTTCCCACCAACAGTGTACGAGAGTTCCCTTTTCTCCACATGCACATCAGAATATTTTATTGCCTGATATTTGGATATAAACAATTTTAACTGGGATGAGATGATACCTCATTGTAGTTTTCATTTGCATTTCTCTGATGATCAATGATGTTGACCACCTTTTCATATACCTGTTTGTCTTTGTATGTCTTTATTTGAAAAATGTCTATTCAGATATTTTGCCCATTTTTAAATTGAATTATTAGAGTTTTTCCTATAGAGTTGTTTGAGCTCCTTATATGTTCTGGTTATTAATTCTTTGTCAGATAGGTAGTCTGTAAATATTTTGTCCCATTCTGTGGGTTCTCTCTTCACTTTGTTGATTGTTTCCTTTGCTAGGTAGAAGCTTTTTAACTAGATGTGATCCCATTTGTCCATTTTTGTTTTGTATCTCTCTGGTTATGGGATACTACCCGAGAAATCCTGGTTCAGTCTAACATCCTGGAGAGTTTTCCAAAAGATTTCTCTTAGTAGTTTCATAGTTTGAGGTCTTAGATTTAAGTCTTTAATTCATTTTGATTTGATTTTTGTATATGGCAAAAAATAGGAGTGAAGTTTCATTCTTCTGAGTATGGATATCCAATTTTTCCCGGAGACTATCCTTTATTGATGGATTATTATTTAAGAGACTATCCTTTCCCCATTGTATGTTCTTGGCACCTTTGTCAAAAATGAATTTGCTCTATATGAATGGATTTGTTATTTCAGGTTCTCTATTCTGTTCCATTTGTCTATGTGTCTGTTTTTATGCCAGTACCCTGCCATTTTGTTTTGTAGTATAATTTGATGTCAGGTAATGTGATTCTTTGTATTTTGTTCTTTTACTCAAGATAGTTTTGTCTCTTCTCGGTCTTTTTTGGTATTACGTAAATTTTAGGATTTTTTTCTATTTCTGTGAAGAATGTCATTAGTATTTTAATCAGGATTGCATTGAATCTGTAGATTTCTTTGGGGAATATTGAAATTTTAGCAATACTGATTATTCCAATTCATGAACATGGAATATCTTTTGATTTTCTGTGTCCTCTTTAATTTCTGTCATCAAAATTTTATAGTTTTCATTGTAGAGATTTTTCACTTCTTTGGTTAAGTTAATTCTTAGATATTTTATTTTATTTGTAGCTATTGTAAATGTGATTACTTTCTTGATTTCTTTTTCAGATCATTTGCTGTTGGCATATAGAAATGTTACTGACTTTTTGTATGTTGACTTTGTATCCTTTAATTTTATCAAATTTCTTTATCAGTTCTACTACTTATTTTGTGGAGACTTTAGGTTTTTTCATATATAAGATCATAGCATCTGCAAATAAGGATAACGTGACTTCTTTCTTTCCAATTAGAATGCCTTTTATTTCTTCCTCTTGTCTGACTGCTCTAGCTAGAAATTTCACTAGTATGCAGAATAACAATGGTGAGATTGAATATCTTTGTCATGTTCCAGATCTTAAAAGAATGGCTTTCAGTTTTTATCCATTCAGTATAGTATTAGCTGTGTATCTGTCAAATATGGCTTTTATTGTGTTGAGGTATGTTTCTTCTATACCCAGTTTTTTAAGTGTTTTCATCATGAAGGGATGCTGAAATATATCAAATGTTTTTTCATCCTCAAATGTGTAAATATATGGTTATTTCACTTCATTATGTTGATACGATGTATCACATTGATTAACTTGCATGCACTGAACCATGCTTGCATTCCTGGGATAAATCCCACTTGGTCATGATAAACAAGTTTGTAAAAGTATTGTTAAATTTAGTTTGCTAGTATTTAGCTGAAGAAATTTGTATCACTGTTCATCAGGTATATTGGCCTGTACATACTCTTTTACTGATGTGTGTTTGCCTGGTTTTGGTATCAAGGTATTACTGGCCTTGTAAAATGGATTTGGCAGTTTCCCTCCTCCTCTATTTTTTGGAATAGTTTGAGTAGATTTGGTATTAGTTCTTTAAATGTTTGGTAGAATTCAGCAGTGAAGCCATGGGGTCCCCGTTTTCTTTGCTGGGAGAATTTTTGTTAAAGCTTCAATCTCATTACTTGTTACTAATCAGTTAAGGTTTTAGATTTCTTCGTGATTCAATCTTGGTAGTTTTTTTTTATTATTATTATACTTTAAGATTTAGGGTACATGTGCACAATGTGCAGGTTAGCTACATATGTATACATGTGCCATGCTGGTGTGCTGCACCCATTAACTCGTCATTTAGCATTAAGTATATCTCCTAATGCTATCCCACCCCCCTCCCCCAACCCCACAATAGTTCCCAGAGTGTGATGTTCCCCTTCCTGTGTCCATGTGTTCTCATTGTTCAATTCCCTCCTATGAGTGAGAACATGCGATGTTTGGTTTTTGTCCTTGCGATAGTTTGCTGAGATTGATGGTTTCCAGCTTCATCCATGTCCCTACAAAGGACATGAACTCATCATTTTTTATGGCTGCATAGTATTCCATGGTGTATATGTGCCACATTTTCTTAATCCAGTCTATCATTGTCGGACTTTTGGATTGGTTTCAAGTCTTTGCTATTGTGAATAGTGCCATAATAAACATACGTGTGCATGTGTCTTTATAGCAGCATGATTTATATTCCTTTGGGTGTATACCCAGTAATGGGATGGCTGGGTCAAATGGGATTTCTAGTTCTAGATCCCTGTGGAATCGCCACACTGACTTCCACAATGGTTGAACTAGTTTACAGTCCCACCAACAGTGTAAAAGTGTTCCTATTTCTCCACATCCTCTCCAGCACCTGTTGTTTCCTGACTTTTTAATGATTGCCATTCTAACTGGTGTGAGATGGTATCTCATTGTGGTTTTGATTTGCATTTCTCTGATGGCCAGTGATGATGAGCATTTTTTCATGTGTCTTTTGGCTGCATAAATGTCTTCTTTTGAGAAGTGTCTGTTCATATCCTTTGCTCACTTTTTGATGGGGTTGTTTGTTTTTTTCTTGTAAATTTGTTTGAGTTCATTGTAGATTCTGGATATTAGCCCTTTAAAAAAAATTAAATTTTTTTATCAAAGGCCTTTTCTACATCTATTGGGATGATGGTGTGATTTTTGTTTTTAGTTCTGTTTATGTGGTGAATCCCATTTATTGATTTGTGCATGTTGAACAAACCTTGCATCCGAGAGATAAACCCTCCTTGATCATAGTGGATAAGCTTTTGATGTGCTGCTGGGTTCGGTTTGCCAGTATTTTGTTGAGCATTTTTGCAATGATGTTCATTAAGGATATTGGCCTAAAGTTTACTTTTGTGTGTGACTCTGCCAGATTTTAGTATCAGTATGATTCTGGCCTCATATAATTAGTTAGAAAGGGGTCCCTTCTCCTAAATTTTTTTGAATAGTTTCTGTAGGAATGGTACTAGTTCTTCCTCATACATCTGGCAAAACTTAGCTGTAAATCCATCTGGTTCTAGGCATTCCCTGATTTGTAGGCTTTTTATTATTGATTCAATTTCAGAACTTGTTATTGGCCTAGAACATGAGCCTTGGAGTTAAATAGACCTAAGTTTGAAACCTGGTTCTTGCATTTTGCTAATTGATTGATAGTAAGCCAGATTTTTATTTGTCTAACCTTTAAATTGGGATATTAGTTTTGCTTCTCTAAAGAAAATGTGCAAAATTACCTGGCACTTAAATAAATTGCAAAAAGTACCTGGCATTTAGTGGGCCTTCAAAAATACACCCTTCAAAAGCAAGGTTCTTCTGGGCTTAGCCTTATTTTCTACATTTTACAGATAAATACATTGATGTTTAAAGTGGCAGTACATTCCTATACAGTATTATTTTAACCTTGACAGAAGCTTGGTGTCAGCAAATCATTCACTTGGGACAGAGAGGATATCTGAAATTATCCAGATATTGCATCTGTAGCCCATCCAGTATTTGATAGATTCTTCCTGAAAAAAGGAGGCCACAGAGTTTGCTAGGCTCCACCGTCACGAATAAAAGCCAAAGAAAAAACTCTCATCCAAGTATCACTTAACCTATCAGAAGAAGCAGGCGATTAAGATAATAGCCTCTGGCGTCAGAATTTCTGGGTTAAAATCTGAGTTCTGCCACTTACTAGCTGTGTGACCTAGGTTCCGGGTCAAATTTCTTGACTAATCTGGTTCTTGATTCCTTAATTTGTAAAATGAAAATAATGGAATCTACCTAATATTGTGCTGGAGCTGGATCATAGCAGCTCACAAAAAGCTCTTTTTAAATTTTTTTTAAGTTTGTGGGTACATAATAGGTGTACATTTTTTGGAGTACATGCAATGTTTTGATACAGGCAAGCAATGTGAAATAAGCACATCATGAAGCATAGGGTGGGTATTCATTCCCTCAAGCATTTATCCATTGAGTTGCAAAAAAACCAAATTACAAATTTTAAGTTTTAATAAAAGTGAAGTTATTAACTGTAGTCACCCTATTGTGCTATCAAATAGTAGGTCTTATTCACTCTTTCTAACTATTTTTATACCCATTAAGCATCCCCTCCTACCCCCAGATCTCTACTACGCTTTCCAGCCTCTGGTAACCATTCTTCTACTCGCTATGTCCATGAGTTCAATTATTTTGATTTTTGGATCCCACAAACAAGTGAGAACATGCAATGTTTATCTTTCTGTGCCTGGCTTAATGTAATTAACATAATGATTTCCAGTTCCATTTATGTTGTTGCAAATAATTGAATCTTTTTTATGGCTGAATACTACTCCTTTGTGTATATGAACCACATTTTCTTTATCCATTTGTCTGTTAATGGACAGTTAGGTTTCTTCCAAATATTAGTTATTGTAAACAGTGCTGCAACAAACATAGGAGTGCAGATATCTCTTCAATACACTAATTTCCTTTATTTTGGGTATATACCATGCAGTGGGATTGCTAGATCGACCCTGTGGTATCTGAATTTTTAGTTTTTTTTTCTTTTTTTGAGGAACCTCTAAACTGTTATCCATAGTGATAGTACTAATTTACATTCCCACTAACAGTGTACAGGGGTTCAGTTTTCTCCACATTCTTGCCAGCATTTGTTATTGCCTGTCATTTGGATCCAAGCCATTTTAACTGAAGTGAGATGATATCTCATTGTTGTTTGGATTTGCGTTTCTCTGATGATCAATGACGTTGAGTACATTTTTGTGTGCTTGTTTGTCATTTGCATGTCTTCTTTTGAGAAATGTCTATGCAGATCATTGACTCATTTTTTGATCAGATTATTAGATTTTTTTCTACACAGTTGTTTGAACTCTTTATATATTGTGGTTATGAACCCCTTGTCAGATGTGTAGTTTGCAAATATTTTCTCCCATTTGGTGGATTGCCTCTTCACTTCGTTGATTGTATACTTTGCTGTGAATAAGCTTTTTAACTTTATGTGACCCCATTTGTCCATGTTTGCTTGGGTTGCTTGCGCTTGTGGGGTATTGGTCAACAATGTTTTTTTACCAAGACCAATGTCCTGGAGATTTTCCCCAATGTTTCCTTGTAGTAGTTTCATAGTATGAGGTCTTAGATTTGTCTTTTATTCATTTTGTTTTGATTTTTGTATATTCTGAGAGATAAGGGTCTAGTTATTCTTCTTCATATGGATATCTAGTTTTCCCAGCATCATTATTTATTTTATTATTTGTTTATTTTTCAATTACAATTTCAATCTTTTTTTATATTATATTTCAAGTTCTAGGATACATGTTCACAACATGCAGGTTTGTTACATAGGTAAACATGTGCCATGTTGGTTTGCTGCACCCATCAGCTCATCATTTACATTAGGTATTTCTCCTAATGCTATCCCTCACCCATCCCCATACCCCATGACAGGCCTCAGTGTGTGATGTTCCCCACCCTGTGTCTAAGTGTTTTCATTGTTCAATTCCCACCTGTGAGTGAGAACATGCAGTGTTTGGTTTTCTGTCCTTGCGATAGCTTGCTGAGAATGATGGTTTCCAGCTTCATCCATGTCCCTACAAAGGACATGAATTCATCCTTTTTATGGCTGCATAGTATTCCATGGTGTATATGTGCCACATTTTCTTAATCCATTCTACCATTGACGGACTTTTTGGTTGGTTCCAAGTCTTTGCTATTGTGGATAATGCCACAATAAATGTGGCATGTTTCTTTATAATAGCATGATTTATAATCCTTTGGGTATATACCCAGTAATGGGATGGCTGAGTCAAATGGTATTTCTAGTTCTAGATCCTTGAGGAATCACCACACTGTCTTCCACAATGGTTGAACTACTTTACACTCCCACCAACAGTGTAAAAGTCTTCCTATTTCTCCACGTCCTCTCCAGCATCTGTTGTTTCCTGACTTTTTAATGATTGCCATTCTAACTGGTGTGAGATGGTATCTCATTGTGGTTTTGATTTGCATTTCTCCGATGACCAGTGATGATGAGCATTTTTTCATGTGTCTTTTGGCTGCATAAATGTCTTCTTTTGAGAAGTGTTTGTTCATATCCTTCGCTCACTTTTTGATGAGGTTGTTTGTTTTTTTCTTGTAAATTTGTTTAAGTTCTTTGTAGATTCTGGATACTAGCCCTTTGTCAGATGGGTAGATGGCAAAAATGTTCTCCCATTCTGTAGGTTGCCTGTTCACTCTGATGGCAGTTTCTTTTGCTGTGCAGAAGCTCTTTAGTTTAATTAGATCCCATTTGTCTATTTTGGCTTTTGATGCCCTTGCTTTTCGTATTTTAGTCATGAAGTCCTTGCCCATGCCTATGTTCTGAATGCATTGCCTTGGTTTTTTTAATAGGGTTTTTATGGTTTTAGGTCTAACATGTAAGTCTTTAATCCATCTTGAATTAATTTTTGTGTAAGCTGTAAGGAAGGGATCCAGTTTCAGCTTTCTACATATGGCTAGCCAGTTTTCCCAGCACCATTTATTAAATAGGGAATCCTTTCCCCATTTCTTTTTTTTGTCAGGTTTGTCAAAGATTAGATGGTTGTAGATGTGTGGTGTTATTTCTGAGGACTCTGTTCTGTTCCATTGGTCTATATATCTGTTTTGGTACCAGTACCACCCAGTATCATTTATTGAGAAGACTGTCTTTTCCTCAGCATATGTACTTGGCACCTTCATTGAAAATGAGTTCACTCTAGGTGTGTGGATTTGTTTCTGTGTCTTCTATTCTGTCCCATTTGTCTATGTTTCAGTTTTTGAGCCAGTACCATGCTGTTTTCATTATTATAGCTCTGTAGTGTAATTTGAAGTCAGCTAATGTGATTCCTCCAGCTTTATTCTGTTTGCTTAGGATAACTTTGGATATTTTGAGTCTTTTCTCGTTTCATATAAATTTTAGAATAGTTTTTTTTCTACTTATGTGAAGAATGCCATTGGTATTTTGATAGGGATTGCTTTGAATTTGTAGATTGCTTTGGGGAGTATGGACATTTTCATAATATTGATTCTTTCAATACATGAATACAAAATACTTTTCATTTTTTTGGTGTCTTCTTCCATTTTTTTTCCCATAAGGATTCTATAGTTTTTATTACAGAGATCTTCCACTTTTTTGGTCAAGTTAATTTCTAGGTATTTAATTTTACATGTGGATTTATAAGTGGGATTACTTTTTTATTTCTTTTGCACCTTCCTCACTGTTATCATATAGAAATGCTACTAATTTTTCTGTTTTGATTTTGTATCCTGCAACCTTACTGAATTTGTGTATCAGTTCTAATAGTTTTTTTGTGAAATCTTTAGGTTTTTAAAAATATAAGATTATATCATCTTTATAAAAGGATAATTTGACTTCTTCCTTTCCAATCTGGATGCTCTTTATTTCATTCTCTTGTGTAATTGCTCTAACTAAGACTTTCAGTACTATGTTGAATAACAGTGGTGAAAGTGGGCATCCTTGTAGTGTTGCAGATCTTAGAGGAAAGTCTTCCAGGTTTTTTCCCCGTTCATGGTACTAGCTGTGGGTCTGTTACATATGGCTTTTATTGTGTTGAGGTATCTTTCTTTTATACCCAATTTTTTGACAATTTTGTTTTTATCATAAAGGAATGTCAAATTTTATTAAATGCTTTTGCAGCATGAATTGAAATGATCATACGGCCTTTGTCGTTCATTCTCTTGATGAATGTATCACATTGATTGATTTGTGTATGTGGAACCATTGTTGCATCCCAAGGATAAATCCTATTTAGTCAAGATGAATAAAGTTTTTAATGTATTGCTCAATAAGGTTTGCTAGTATTTTGTTGACGATTTTTATGTCACTATTCATCAGAGATATTGGCCTGTAGTTTTCTTTTTTTGGTGGTGTGTCTTTTTATTATTTGGGCATCAGGGTAATAGTGGCCTTGCAGATTGAGTTTGGAAGTATTCCCTCCTCCTCTATTTTTCAGAATAGTTTGAGTAGAATCAGTATTAGTTCTTCTTTAAATGTTTGGTAGTATTCAGCAGTGATGCCAACAGGTCCCAAGCTTTGACTTACAGACGTTTTATTATGGCTTTGACCTCATTACTTGTTATTAGTCTGTTCAGATTTTGAATTTCTTTCTGGTTCAATGTTGGTAGGTTGTAGTGTCTAGGAATTTGCCCAATTTCTTCTAGATTTTCCAATTTATTGATAGTTTGATAGGAATAGCATTTAATCTATAAATTGCTTTGGACAGTATGGCAATTTTAACAATATTTATATTCTTTCTATTAATGAGCAAGAAATATTTTCCCATTAGTGTCATCTCTGATTTCCTTGGGCAGAGTTTGGTAATTCCCATTTTACAGTTCTTTCACCTTCATTAACTGTATTCCTAGGTATTTTATGTTTTTTTTTGTTTTTTTGTTTTTTTTTGGTTGTGGGGTACAATTGTGAATGGGATTGCATTCTTTATTTGGCTCTCAGCTTGACTGTTTGTGTATAGAAATGCTAGTAATTTTTGTACATTGATTTTGTGTCCTGAGACTTTGCTGAAGTTATCACCTCGAGGAGCTTTTGGGTAGGGACCATGGGGTTTTGTAAATATAGAATCATGTTGTCTGCAAACAGGGATAGGTTTACTTTCTCTCTTCCTATTTGGATGCCCTTTATTTCTTTCTCTTGCCTGATGGTTCTGGCCAGGACTTCCAGTAATATATTAAATAGGAGCAGTGACAGAGGGTGTACCTGTCTTGTGCCAGTTTTCAAGGGCAATGCTTCCAGCTTTTGCTCATTCAGTATGTCGTTGGCTGTGGGCTTGTCATTGATGACTGTTATTATTTTCAGGTATATTCCGTCAATACCTATTTTATTGGGAGTTTTTAACATGGGGGAGTGCTGAATTTTATCAGAAGCCTTTCTTCATTTATTAAGATAATCATGTGGTTTTTGTCTTTAGTTCTGTTTATGTGATGAACCACATTTACTAATTTGTGTATGTTGAACCAATCTTGCATTACACGATAAAGTGTACTTGATTGTGCTAGATAAGTTTTTGAAGTGCTGCTGGATTCAGCTTATCTGTATTTTGTTGAGAATTTTTGCATCAATATTTATTAAGGATATTGGAGTGAAGTTTTTGTTGTTGTATCTCTCTCAGGTTTTGTTATCAGGATGATGCTGGCCTCATATAGTGAATTAGGGAGGAGTTCCCCCTTCCCAACTGTCTGGTCCTTTGATTTTCTTGGTTGGTAGGCTATTTATTACTGACTCAATTTCAGAGCTCATTATTGGTTTATTCAGGGATTCAATTTCTTCCTTGTTCAGTCTTGGGAGGGTGTGTGTGTGTTCAGGAATTCATCCATTTCTTCTAGATTTTTTAGTATATGTGCATAGATTTTTTCATAATGGATTTTCTGATGGTTGTTTGTATTTCTGTGCCATCAGTGATAATGTCTTCTTTGTCATTTCTAACTGTGTTTATTTGGATTTTTTCTCTTTTCTACTTTATTATTCTAGCTGGTGATCTATTTATCATAATAGTTTTTTCAAAATATCAGCTACTGAAATTGATGATCTTTGGAATAGTTTTTCATGTCTCAATCTCCTTCAATTCAGGTTTGATTTTGGTCTTTTCTTGTCTTCTGCTAGCTTTTGAGTTAGTTTTCTTTTGGTTCTCTAGATCTTTTAATTGTGATGTTAGGTTGTTAAATTACAATCTTTGTAACTTTTTGATGAGGGCATTTAGTGCTATGAATTTTCCTGTCAACACTGACTTAGCCGTGTCTCCTAATTTTTGGTAAGCTGTATTTTTCTTCTTATTAATTTCAAAGAATGTCTTAATTTTTTGCTTCCATTTCATTATTTACCCTAAAGTCATTCAGGAGCAGGTTATTCAATTTCCATGTAATTTTATGGTTTTGAACTATTTTTCTTTTTTTTTTTGACTTTTTTTATTATTATACTTCAAGTTCTAGAGTACATGTGCACAACGTGCAGGCTTGTTACATAGGTATACATGTATCATGTTGTTTTGCTGCACTCATCAACTGGTCATTTACATTACATATTTCTAACTCTATCCCTCCCCCAGTCCCCCACCCCTGAATAGGCCCCGGTGTGTGATGTTCCCCTCCCTGCGTCCATGTGTTCTCATTGGGTTTTGAACTATTTTCTTAGTCTTGAATTCCTTTTTAAATGTGCTGTGGTTCAAGAGAGTGGTTTGTATGATTTCAATTCTTTTGCATTTGCTGAGTTGTGCTTTATGTCCGAGTATGTGATTGACTTCATGGTATGTATCATGTGGCCTTGAGAAGAAAGTATATTCTGTTGTTTTGGGGTGCAGAGTTCTGTGGATATCTATTAGGACCATTTGATCCCTTGCTGAGCTTAGGTCCTGAATATCATTGTTATTTTTTTGCCTCAGTGATCTGTCTAATACTGTCAGTGTGGTGTTGAATTCTCCCACCATTATTGTGTGGGAGTCTAAGTCTCTTCGATGGTCCCTAATAACTTGCTATATGAATCTGGGTGCTTCTGTGTTGGGTGCACATATATTTAAGATAGTTAGGTTTTCTTGTTGAATTAAACCCTTTATCATTATGTAATGCCCTTCTTTGTCTTTTTGATCTTTGTTGATGTAAGTCTGTTTGTCTGAAATTAGGATTGCAACCCCTTCTTTTCTGTTTTCCATTGCTTGGTAGATTTTTCTCCATTTTTTTTTTTATTTTGAGCCTATGTGTGTCACTGCATATGAGATGGGTCTCTTGAAGACAGTGTACCACTGGTCTTGGTTGTTTATTCAACTTGACACTCTATGATTTTTAATTGAGTCTTTGAGTCCATTCACATTCAAGGTTAGTATTGAAATGTGTGGACTTGATACTGTTCTCATGATGTTACCGGTTATTATGCAGACTCGTTTGTGCATTTTCTTTATAGTGTCACTGGTGTGTGTACCTAAGTGTGTTTTCGTATTGGCCAGACATGGTCTTTTCTTTCCATATTTAGTGCTTCTCTCAGGAGCTCTTGTAAGGCAGGTCTGCTGGTAATAAATTCCCTCAGCATTTGCTTATTTTAAAAGGGTCTTATTTCTCTTATTTCTTCACTTTTAAAGCTTACTTTGGCCATATATGAAATCCTGGGTTGGAATGTCTTTTCTTTAAGAATGCTGAATATTGGTCCCCAATCTCTTCTGGCTTGTAGGGTTTCTGCTGGGAGGTCCACTCTTAGTCTGATGGGCTCCTGTTTGTAGGTGATATGATATTCCTTTCTAGCTGCCTTTAACATTTTTTCTTTCCTTTCAACCTTGGAGAATCTTATGATTATATGTCTTGGGGATGATCTTTTTGTGAAATATCTTGCTGAGGTTCTCTGCATTTTCCAAACATTCAGCAGGCCTCTCCTTTCTATCTTGGTTGGGGAAGTTCTCATAAATGATATCCAGAAATATAATTTTTAAGTTATTTACACTCTCCTCATCTGTTTCAGGAACACCAATGAGTCATAGATTTTATCTCTTTACATAATCCCTTATTTCTCAGAGGTTTTGTTTGCTCCTTTTTATTGTTTTTCTCTATTCTTATCTGCCTGTCTTATTTCAGAAAGTCAGTTTTCAAACTCAGAGATTCTTCTTTAAGCTTGGCTTATTCTGCTATAATACTTGCGATTGCATTATAAAATTTGTGTGGTATGTTTTTCAGCTCTAGCAGGTCAGTTATATTCTTTTCTATACTGGTTATTTTCATCTGTCAGCTCCTGTATTATTTCAGTGTGATTCTTGGCTTCCTGAAATTCCTGCATCTCAATTATCACTGTGACTCTCCATATTTGTGAGTTCTATTTCTATCATTTCTGCCATCTCAGCCCTGTTCAGAACTCTCACTAGAAAGGTACTGTAGTAGTTTGGAGGAAAGAATGCACTCTGGCTTTTTGAGTTGTCAAAGTTTTTGTGCTGTATTTTTTTTCTTTTTTTATTTCATTTTATTTTATTATTATTATACTTTAAGTTTTAGGGTACATGTGCACAATGTGCAGGTTAGTTACATATGTATACATGTGCCATGCTGGTGTGCTGCACCCATTAACTCATCATTTAGCATTAGGTATATCTCCTAATGCTATCCCTCCCCGCTCCCCCCACCCCACAACAGTCCCCAGAGTGTGATGTTCCCCTTCCTGTGTCCATGTGTTCTCATTGTTCAATTCCCACCTATGAGTGAGAATATGCAGTATTTGGTTTTTTGTCCTTGCAATAGTTTACTGAGAATGATGATTTCCAATTTCATCCATGTCCCTACAAAGGACATGAACTCATCATTTTTTATGGCTGCATAGTATTCCACGGTGTATATGTGCCACATTTTCTTAATCCAGTCTATCATTGTTGGACATTTGGGTTGGTTCCAAGTCTTTGCTATTGTGAATAGTGCCGCAATAAACATATGTGTGCATGTGTCTTTATAGCAGCATGATTTATAGTCCTTTGGATGTATACCCAGTAATGGGATGGCTGGGTCAAATGGTATTTCTAGTTCTAGATCGCTGAGGAATCGCCACACTGACTTCCACAATGGTTGAACTAGTTTACAGTCCCACCAACAGTGTAAAAGTGTTCCTATTTCTCCACATCCTCTCCATGTGCTGTATTTTTTTTCTCATCTTTGTGGGTTGATGTTACTTCAATCTTTGAAGTTGCTGACCTTTGGATGGTTGTTTCTTTCTTTTATTCTATTCAATGACCTTGATGTATTGACTTTGGTATAAGCTGTATTCGGCTGACTGGCTTCATTTCTGGATTCTTTTATGGGGCTAACACTCAGCTCCCAACTCCTGGATTGTGTGCTCTAACACTGAGGGACTTGTACTGGGCCTGACTTTTTTTATCCTGGCTCCTTGAGGTTAGAAACCCACTGTACTGGGTTAAGGAAAATAAAGTTGCTCCCAGACCCCCTGGTCACTACCCTTCGATGAGTCTTGTCAGCCAAAGCATTTCATAGTACTGTGAACAGTGGGATCTATCCTTATTCATACATGCCAGCAGTATGGTGTGGTGCACACTCATCAGCTGCTGCGGGGTGCTAGCGGGTGGTTGGGTGCTTGCTTCCATGCAGGCATTCGCCACAGTGGTGGAGGCAATGCATCTCATGGGTGGGAGTATGGAGGGGTCCCTGCTAATGACTGTGCAGTCCCGCTGGTGGTGGCCTTCGCTCAGGGGCTCGGTGTTGGCAGGCCCAGGTCTGTATGCCTTCTCTGTGTGTCACAAAGTGGAGTGGTCACTCAGGATAGGGGAGTATCTACTGTTCTCTGCACCTTATTTCACTTCCAAGGCAGTGTTAGTGCAAGGGTGGGGTGCTGGTGGAGGTGGGGCTGGTTGGCTCTTTTCCTGCCTAGTCTCCATCTGTAATGGCAGTTAGCAGGGGTACAAGGGGTGTCTACACTCCCACCACAGTAGTAGCAGGGAAGGGTGCATGCACCCTAGCACACTGGCGGGGCAAAAAAAGCAAAATCCACCTATGCAGACATGGACCTGAAAAGTGATGTGAGTAGTTGCCATGGGTCTAGGGGAAGCTGTAGTGAGTGGGAGGGAGCATGCAGGCTGGTGCATGACCATGGAGGCCACCTTACTGGAGCTCTTCACTGGATAAGCACAGTCCACCAGCACAGAAGCTATTATGTGATTCCTCAGGGCACCCAAAACTGCCCCACAAGCAGTTGTGGCCAGCCAGCGACCCCTGTAGAGGCCAGCAGACCAAGTAGTGCTCAGGTCAGATTGGCCACATCTGATGGGTAAGACCACCCTGCAGAGTTCAGGATTGACAGTTCCCCTAGGGCTAAAGTCTCCTATGGGGACAAGTCAAGCCTAGGGTCATGGCCGTCTCTGGATGTGCTCTGCTAGAGATGCTCTCACACTAATCTCTCTGTGCTCCACATCAGCCTCTATGCTGCCCCTACCATTTCTCTAAGCAGCAATCTCTGCCACTCGAGTGTCCATAGTGGTCGAAGTATCTCCTCCTGCTGGAGTTCCAGAGGCCAATGGTGAGAATGCGTTGTTCCTTGCTAATTCAACTCACCTATTCCCCTGAATCCAATGGGGGGGGCAGGAAATGAGTCCAGGTGCACAATAGCCCCGTGTAGAGTTCCCATATTCCTGCCCGTTCAGCCCAGCTTCTACGACTTCCCTCCATCTTGGTGCCTTCCCTCTGAAGATTTGTTAGAAGTATGCTAGTAGTCTGGATCCCTCCCTGGCAGTTGTTCCACCTTGCTGAGTCTAGTCAGCCATCTTGGCATAATCTGAGGCAAGTAGTTTAAGACCAACCAGGGAACCATAGTGAGACTGTGTCTCTACAAAAATGAAATAAAACAAAATAAAATAAAATAAAAAATAGCCAGGGATGGTGGCATGCAACTGTAGTTTTAGTTACTCAGGATGTTGAGGTGGGAGTATGACTTGAGCCTAGATGTTTGAAGTTTTAGTGAGCTATGGCTACACTGCACTCCAGCCTGAGTGACAGAGTGAGACCTTCAGGAAAAGAGAGAGAAAGAAAAAAGAAATGAAAGAAAGAAAGAAGAAAAGAAAGAAAGAAAGAAAGAGAGAAAGAGGAAGGAAGGAAGGAAGGTAGGAATGAAGGAAGGAAGGAAGGAAGGGAAAGAAAGGCCAGATTCTAACACAGAATAACCTGGCATTTATTGCTGCTCAACACTTTCCAAATCTAATTTGAAAAGCTTATATTTATAGTGAAGTCCCTGAAGGGGACTTCCCCTTGGATGCTTTACAATCGATTTCTGGCTTAATCCAGGTCACCAGAGAATTGTTAATCTGGACTGCTGGGCAACTTTATTTTGACATAGTATAGATCAATAATATCTTTTACAGACATTTTGTCATTAAGGCATTGAATTAAAATAAGGGGAATTATTAGAAACAGCCTTTAAGAAACAAATTGCTGGATTTATTGTCAAGGTCTTGTTGATACTGCTCACAATGTCCTCTTGAAAACATCTCATGAGAGACTAGTTATCTGATGTTAGTAACAATATTTGTTGTTAAGATATTATAACTCATACAGTTGATAGGGTTTCCATCTGCACTGACAGCTCGAAAGTTCAGAATCAAATTTGCGGCTCAGGTTTAGCAAATGTGAAAAAAAATTTTGGCATACATTTTACCTCCTAACTTCATTCAGATGCTCTTCATCCAGCCACTGCTATCTCTTCATTTCTAAATCCATAAACTCTTTTCTAGCTTTGTAGAGACAGTTTGTGTAGTGGTTATGATCATGGCCTCTACATTTAAGTAGGCTGTATTTAAATCTACTTTTTGTCACTTACTATGTAGCCTTGACCTAGTTACTTATATTCTCTATACCTCAGTTCCTCCATCTGTCCAGTGGATATAATAATGGTACATACCTCCTAGGGTTGTTATAAGTATTACATTGGGGTAATATATGCAAAGTGTTTAGAACAGTGCCTGACACCCGGTACTATTAATAACCCAATTTCAGGGGATGCCATTTACATAGAATGTAGCATGAATGATGCTTTTTAGATTTGGACAATGTGATGACTCTGCTGATACATAGTGAGTACTCTATAGATGTTAGCCAATGTTATTGCTCTCACATGTTCATAGACTGTGCAGTTTTAATGAAAGAAATAAACCTATTTCCCTCACTGTCTCCACAAAAGAAGGTGGGCCCACAAAAACCCAGGTTGTAAGAAAACTTTCTAACACTTACTTCTAAGGCTACCTCATCTCTAAATTCAGCCAGCTTCAATCCCATTTTGTTACACTTTGTTTTCTACCAGGCCGTTGATTTGGGAACAGTATGTGACACCAAGTATTATATGTAAACATAATGCCAGGTAGATCATCTTGTTGAACATACGTGTTCATGTGTTGTTATGGTAGAACGATTTATATTCCTTTAGGTATATATTCAATAATGGGATTGCCAGGTTGAATGGTAGTTCTTTTTTAAGTTCTTTGAGAAATTGCCAAATTGCTTTTCCCAATGACTGGACTAATTTACATTCCCATCAGCAGTGTACAAACGTTCCGTTTTCTCCAAAACCATGCCAGCATCTGTTATTTTTGACTCTTTAATAATAGCCATTCTTACTGGTGTGAGATGGTGTCTCATTGTGGTTTTGATTTGCATTTCTCCAGTAATTAGTGATGTTGGGCATTTTTTTCACATGCTTGTTGGCTGTGTGTGTGTGTCTTCTTTTGGGAAGTGTTTGTTAATTTCCTTTGTCCTCTTTTTAATGGGGTTGCATGGTTTTTGCTTGCTAATCTGTTTAAGTTCCTTATAGATTCTGCATATTAGACTTTTGTCAGAGGAATATTATGCAAGTATTTTCTCCCATTCTGTATGTTGTCTGTTTACTTTGTTGATGACTTTTTTTTTTTGCTGTGCAGAAGCTGTTTAGTTTAATTATGTCCTATTTGTCAATTTTTTTTTTGCAATTGTTTTTAGCATCTTCATCATGAAATCTTTGCCAGGTCCTATGTCCAGAATAGTATACCACAGGTTTTCTTCAAGGGTTTTTGTAATTTTAGATTTTACATTAAAGTCTTTCATATATCTTTAGTTAATTTTTTAAATGGTGTAAGAAAGTAGTCCTGTTTCAATCTTCTGCATATGGCTAGCCAGTTATCCCAGCATCGTTTATTGAATAGGGAATCCTTTATCCATTGCTTGTTATTGTTGACTTTGTTGAATATCAGATTGTTGCAGTTGTGTGGCTTTATTTCTGGCCTTTTTTGTTCCATTGGTTTATGTGTTTGTTTATGTATGAGTATCATGCTATTTTAGTTACTGTAGCCTTGTAACATGGTTTGAAGTCAGGTAATGTAATGTTTTAGGTTTGTTTTTTTTTCTTAGGAATGCTTTGGCTCTTCAAGCTCTTTTTGGGTCCTGTATGAATTTTAGCATAATTTTCTCTAATTCTGTGAAGAAAGTCATTGGGAGTTTGATAGGAATAGCATTGAATCTGTAAATTTCTTTGGGCAGTATGGCAATTTTAACAATATTAATTCTTACTATCCATGAGGATGGATTGTAGGGACCAGCCCTACAGGGTCTGTGGGTTTTTCTACTCTTGTGCGGAAATGAGAGATTGTAGAAATAAAGACACAAGACAAAGAGATAGAAGAAAAGACAGCTGGGCCTGGGGGACCACTACCACCAAGACACGGAGACCAGTAGTGGCCCCGAATGCCTGACTGCACTGCTATTTATTGTATACAAGGCCAAAGGGGCAGGGTAAGGAGTGTGAGTCATCTCCAATGATTGGTAAGGTCACGTGAGTCATGTGTCCACCAGACAGGGGGCCTTTCCCTTTTAGGTAGCTGAGGCTGAGAGAGAGAGGACAGCCTACGTCATTATTTCTTCTATGCTCTTCTCAGAAAGATTGAAGACTTAAATACTTTCACTAATTCTGCTACTGCTATCTAGAGGGCGGAGCCAGGTGTACAGAATGGAACATGAAAGTGAAACAGGAGTGTGACCGCTGAAGCACAGCATCACAGAGAGACGGTTAGGCCTCCAGATGGCTGTGGGTGGGCATGACTGACGTCAAGCCTTCCACAAGAGGTGGTGGAGCAGAGTCTTCTCTAACTCTCCTGGGGAGGTCTGCTAAGTAATGAGTGCCTTCCCTAGGCACTGACGCTACTGCTAGACCAAGATCAGCTAAGTAACGGTTGCCTTCCCAGGCACTGGCGTTACCGCTATACCAAGGAGCCCTCTAGCGGCCCTGTTCGGGCATGACAGAGGGCTCACACGTCTTCTGGTCACTTCTCACCTTGCCCCTTCAGCTCCTATCTCTTTATGGCCTGGTTTTTCCTAGGTTATAATTGTAGAGAAAAGATTATTATAATATTGGAATAAAGGGTAATGCTATAAACTGATGATTAATAATGTTCATATATCATCATATCTATCTATAATCTATTTCTAGTATAACTATTCTTATTTTATATATTTTCTTTATTATATTGGAACAGCTTGTGTCCTCGGTCTCTTGCCTTGGCACCTGGGTGGCTTGCTGCCCACAATGGACTATTTTTCCACTTCTTTGTGTCATCTTTAATTTCTTTCAACAGTATTTTGTAATTATTTTCACGGAGATCTTTCATCTCCCTGGTTAACTGTATTGAGTAGGAGTGGCTAGAGTGGGTATCCTTGTCTTGTTCCATAAATTCTCAATGTTTTTGTAAAATGAAAATAATAACATGTATCTCATAAAGGCGTTTTGAAGGTTAAATATAAAGTACCTACAATAGTACCTAATACACAATGTACGACCATTATTAATGTTACTGGGAGAGGAGATGATTAACAGCTTATTGCAACCAGGCAAGATACAAATGATTCCATATTCAGACAAACACATCTATAATTATTAAATAAAGCTTCTGGTCTAGAGTAGAGTTTATATGCTGGAAATCTTCTCAGGGGCATTATTACAATGAGGATCTGAAGAATGCATTCCAGAAAATTCTAAAAATGTCTAAACCACTTCAACTCTTTGCAGTTCTCCCAACCCCAAAGATCAAGGCAAACCAACTCCTGGCAACCCAGTGTTCGTATTGTGCTTTCTGCAGGGTGTAACTGAAGAGAAGTAAAAAATGTCAGTGTGTGTTGAAAGATTACCTGGGGCTCACCAAGTTGCTTAGTATTCTCTCACCTATATTATCGCTTTCAGGAATGTTCTTAGATAAAGATGTAACCAAATTTTTTCCTATCTTTGTTGTCTATCTTCAACCTACTCCTAAATGTTCCCTCCCTCATCCCTTCAGCTGAAAGATGCACTACTAATTTGGGTGGTTGCTAATTAAGATCTTAAACTGTGATCCCCTCTCCTGGAGTATGTGAGTTTTCACAGTGTACAAAAAAAGATACATACACACACACATACGCATACACACGCCACTCAAAACTTTTAACATGTAACAGAATGACATTATAATGATGAAATGCATATAATATTGTATATAAGCATATATAAGTAAATGTAATTCTACAAATATATCTGTTTGCACTGCTGTTATATAAATGTGTCTGACTTTGAACAGAAATAAAATAATTTCTAATTTGAATGCTATCTGGAAGAATCTCCCACTGAATAATTGAGAGAAGTCACTTAATCTACAGTTACTTCAATGTTTCACTGTCAAATGAATCCCCCCTCTTTAGGTGGATGCAAAAGTAATTGTGGTTTTTGCCATTAAAACCACGTACATTGTGTATCAGGTACTATTACAGGCACTTTAATATTTAACCTTCAAAACACCTTTATGAGATAGTTGTTATTAAAAGTAATGACAGGAACTGCGGTCACTTTTGCACCAACTTAATACGTGTTCCTAAGAAGCTGCTGGGGTTCAAATTGCACACTTGCTGGCACACTGGAATTTTGCTGTCAAAATATTTTATGCCTTCATGTGTGGATTACGTATGATCCAAATAAGAATGTCTACATGAGAATGCCACTCCCAAAGCAGCCCACACCTGAGGTCTGCTATAGCATTTGTCCCTTTTCATTTGTTCTTCATGATGCACTGACATTTGTCATTCTTATTCAACCTCAATGACTCTCTAGGCTGATTTAGAATTAATAATACAAACTGTTTCTAGGACTGCTGTAACACAGCTGTTTATTTTATCATTTTATAGAATTAGAGCCCTAAATATTTTTGCTTAAAAATAAAATGAGTGTTAATTTTGGAAATATACAATTAATTCTGCCTTAACGTCCCTCAGGGTGTGTTTGTGAGTGCACATGCCCACACTTACATGCACACATGTTGTGTGTGTGTACTTCTAAATAGATAGAAACAGGCTTCCACACGTAGTCATGCATCATTTGACAATAGGTATATGTTTTGAGAAATGTGTTAGGCTATTTCATTGCCCTGCAAACATCATAGAGTGTTACTTCCACAAAGCTAGATGGTATAGCTTAATACATACCTAGGCTAATATGGTATAGCTTATTGCTCCTAGGCTACACACCTGTATAACCTAAATAGCATGTTACTGTACTGAATATTGGAGGCAATTTTAACACAGTGGTATGTATTTGTGTATCTAAATATAAACAAACAAAAAGTACAGTAAATATATGGTATAGAAGATTTAAAATGGCGCACCTGTCTAGGGCACTTACCATGAATGGAGCTTGCAGGACTGGAAGTTGCTCTGGGTGAGCCAGTGAGTGAGCGGTGAATGAATGTGAAGGTGTAGGGCAATACTGTTCGCTAGTGTAGACTTTATAAACACTATACACTTGGGCTACACTACATTTACGTTAACAACTTTCTTTCTTTATTAATAAATTATCACTTGCTTACTGCAACTTTTTAACTTTATAAATTTCTTAAACTTTCTGACTCTTTCGCAATAGCATTTACCTTAAAACACAAACACATTGTACAACTGCACAGAAATATTTTATTTGTTTATATCTTTATTCCATAAGCTTTTTTCTATTTTTAGTTTTGTAACTTTTTAAATTTTTTGTTAAATGTTAATACACAGACACACACATGAACCTAGGCCTGCACAATATCAAGATCATAAATAACCAATATCACTGTCCCCCACCTCCACATCTCATTCCACTAGAAGGTCTTTAGGGGTAATAACACACGTGGAGCTGTCATCTACTATGATAACAATGCCTTTTTCTGGAATATCTCCTGCACACCATGCCTGAGGCTGCTTTACAGTTAACGTTTCATAATAAATAGAAAAAGTATACTCTAAAATAACAATACAATGTGTAGTATAATAAATACAAAACTAGTAACAGTTGTTTATCATTATCAAGTATTACAACTGTACATAATTGTATGTTCTATATTGTACTTTTATAATGACTGTCAGTGCAGTAGGATTTTTTTATGCCAGCATCACTACAAACACATGAGTAATGTGCTACACTGTGACATTACAATAGCTACCATGTCACTAGGTGACAAAAATTTTTCAGCTCCATTATAACCTTCTGAGACCACTGTTGTAATATGTGGTCCATCACTGACTGAAACATCGTTATGCAGAACATGACTGTAATTATGAAACGTTAAATTTATTGTATTAGTTTTCTAGAGTAATCATAATGAAGTGCCACAAACTGGATGACTTAAACAACAGAAATTTATTGCCTCATGGTTTTCTGTCTCACAGGCCAGAAGTCTGAATACTAAGTGTCTGCAGGTTATTTTGAATTTAGGATCATTTTTTTTTAGTTATTTCTGTTTGCTTTTAAAAGTTTACATATTTTCCTTTTAGCAGTCTGCATTACAGCAGACTTCACTAACAGTTTTCCTTTAGGTTTTTAAAATAAAGTACAGGAAATGTCAGCACAAGTTAGTGTCATTTATTTTGAAAACTCAAGCCTCGATGTTTTTTTTTTTTTTTTTCCTTAGCTGTGCAGAGACCCCCTTAGGATTAGCTTTCAACAGAGCTTCCATTCCAGGCCCGGAAGAAACCTTTGATATTAATGTCAGCCCACTGGAAAAAGCTATCAGCATTCCACTAAAAGTTACAATGCTGAGTAATTCAGGAGAATAACTGGTCAAATCTGGTTGCCAATAGACTACTAAGTCTTCCTTAGTGACAGCTTTGGAGAAGTGCTGGGATAATGTGGTTGCCTCTATTTTTAGGTACCAGTCAGTCACTGGAAAAGGACATCTGTGCATGACTTCTATTTTATCCAACAGCCAGATGTCAGCCAGAAGAACAGATGGCCCACCTGGTTGCAGGAGATAAAAGTCAGTGTCAGGTCTGCCCCTGGAAGGGTCCTTCAGTAGCAAATTAGTCTAACGTTAGGGAAGAATCAAAGTAAATTGGATCAACTAACTCTCCTTTCTTCACGGTAAAATTCCGAAGGACTCAGGTTTCCTGCGTCAGGTTTCCACAGGCAGGCCTTCCTATCACTCTTCCTTTTATAATCAGGAGGACCACCAGGGTTTCTGGGAGAGAAGTTGTCCCTTCATATTTTTATGGCAAACTTGGAGCTTGTGACTGACGCTGCTCAAAGGCAAGGGACTTGCTTTGCTGAAAGCTTTACCTTCCCCAACACACTCCTTATGACACAGACAAATAGAGGGCCAATGACCCAAGGCTCCAGTGGGCCTAGCAAAACAAACTGACCAGCATTTCCAGACTAGGCCCCAGCTATATTCACATACTCACCTAACTTGGCTCTTTCTGCACAAACTGAGCTTCCCAACTCAACTGGTTTTCTGCCTAATACCCACTTATATGCTTACCTGATGTCATCCATCAAGAGCGCCCTTCTCAAGAATCAATGTGAGAAAACAGTTGAAAAATTCATCAACTTGAGTAAAAAATACTGCTATATAAATTATCTACACTTATAACTTTATGTTATCCTAACTTACAGATCTATCATTCTTCTTAGGAGGACACAAGAAAATTTTCTCACTCCCAATGAGTAGTATGCTTTCTCTTATTGGATTATGACTTTAATACACTTTATTACTTCCTTTTTTGTCTTGGTTGCCAGAAATCTCAGAACTATATTTGATTCTCAATTGCCAAACTCCCATTTCTTTTTTATGATTTGCAGGTTTTTAATTTTCATTTTAAATAATTAGTATCCATCATTAATGTAAATCCTTTCAAATCTGTGAAATAAAAAAGTAGATAAGGATATACAAATATTTAAGAAAGAGGCAATGAAGTCTTTTTTCTTTTTTTTTTAGACAGAGTCTCGCTCTGTCGCCCAGGCTGGGGTGCAGTGGCGCGATCTCGGCTCACTACAAGCTCCACCTCCCAGCTTCACGCCATTCTCCTGCCTCAGCCTCCCGAGTAGCTGGGACTACAGGCGCCCGCCACCAAGCCCGGCTAATTTTTTGTATTTTTAGTAGAGACGGGGTTTCACCGTGTTAGCCAGGATGGTCTCGATCTCCTGACCTCGTGATCCGCCTGCCTCGGCCTCCCAGAGTGCTGGGATTACAGGCGTGAGCCACCGCGCCCAGCCGTGAAGTCTTTCTAGAGTATAGACTAATAACAGCTCGTAACTTGTGCTGACACTATCTCTTCCCCATGCATTTTTAAAATTAAGATATGATTGACATAGCATAAAACCAACTCCTTTAAAGTGTACAACTTACAAATCTGTGCCACAATCACCACTATCTAAATCCGGAACATTTTCATCACTCTTGTACCCATTAGCATTACTCCCAATTTCCCTTTTCCAATCCACTGGCAGCCACTAATATTTCTGTGTCAATGAATTTGCCTGTTCTGGACATTTTATATAAATGGAATCATAAAATATGTGGCCGTTTGTGTCTGACTTCTTAACGTGATGTTTTCAAGTTTTATCTATGTTGTAACATGCATCAATACTTCATTTGTTATGGCTGAATAATATTCCATTGTATGAATATATCACAATTTATTTATCCATTTCATCTGTTGATGTACATCTGGGTTGTTTCATTGTTAGCTAATAGAAATAATTATGCTACAAGCATTCATGAACAAGTTTTTGTGTGGATGTATGTTTTCAATTCTTCCACGCATATTCGTAAAAGTAAAATTACTGAGTAATTTGGTAACTATGTTTAACTATTTGAGGAACCACTAAACTGTTTTACACAGTGACTATATCACTTTATATTCCACCAATGTATGAGGGTTCCTATCTCTCTGTATCCTTTCTGACATTCGTTAATTTCTATGGTATTTCTGTTGTTGTTATAGACATTCTAGTGGGTTTGAAGTAGTTTTATTGCAGTTTTAATTTATATTTCTCTAATGACTACTGATGTTGAGCATTTTTACATGTGCCTATTGACCATTTGTACATTTTATTTGAAAAAATGTTTATTCTGACCCTTCATTTTTAAGTTATATGATTTGTCTTTTTATTGTTTAGCTTGTTACATATTCTGTATACTAGACCCTTATCAGATATGTGATTTGCAAATATTTTCTTCCACACTGAGGTTTGTCTTTTCACTTTCATCCTAAGGTCTATTTAATAAACACATATTTAAAGTTTACACAGTCCTATTTATCATCTTCTTTTGTTGCTTGAACTGTTGCTGTCATATCTAAGAAACCATGGCATAATCCAATGCCACAAATAATTTGCCATTTTTATCCGAAGAATTTTATAGTTTTAGCTCTTACCTTTTGGTCTGTACTCAATTTTGAGCTAATTTTTAAAATATGATATGTGGTAAGAGTTTAATTTTTTTTGCATATGTATACTAGTTATCATAGAGCTATTTGTTGAATAAACTATTCTTCCTCCATTAAATTATCGTGATACACTTGTTGAAAATTAAGTGACTGTAAATGTGACAACTTACTTCTGGACTTTGATCTATGTTTTTCCATTCATCTATGTTTTTCCTTATGCCAACACCACACTGTCTTGACTACTGTTATTTGTACTAAGTTTTAAAATCTGGAAATGTGAGTCCTCCAAATTTGTTCTTATTACTCAGAATTGTTTTGGCTTTTCTGGGTCCCTTGAACTTACATACGAATTTTAGAATCAGTTCGTAAATTTCTATGAAAACGGTGAGCTGGAATTTGTTTAAGAATTGCCTTGATTTTGTAGATCATATAGTTGAGAATTATTTTAAATAGTAATTAGTCTTTCAACTCATAAACACAGGATGTTTTCCCACTTAGGTTTTCTTTAATTTGTTTCAAAGATATTTTGGAGTTTCCTTGTGCACATCTCACATTTCTTTTGATAAGTTTATTCTAAGTATTTTATTATTTCTGATACTATTGAAAATGAAATTGTTCTCTTAATTTCATTTTCAAATTGTTTATTCCAAGTGTACAGAAATGCGATTGTTTTTTCATATTTCTCTTGTATCCTGCAAACTTACTATAATACTTTATTAGCTCTAATAGATTTGTGTGTGTGGGGTGTGTGTGTGTGTGTGTGTGTGTGTGTGTGTGTGTGTGTCTATTCCTTAGGAATTTCTATGTATAAAACCATGTTATCTGCAAATAAAGGTGGTTTTACTTCTTAAATTTCAATCTAGATGTCTTTTATTTCTTTTGCTTGCCTAATTTCCCTGGCTAGAGTCTTCAATACAATGTTGAATAAAATTGACAAGAGGGAACATACTTGCCTTTTCCCAATCTTGGGAGGAAGCTTTAAGCCTTTCACATTAAATATTATATTCGCTGTAGCTTTTTCAGAGATGCCCTTTATAAGGTTGAGGTAGTTCCTTTTATTACTAATGTGTTGAGTGCTTATCAAAAATGATATTTTTTTTCAAATAATTTTATGTCTCTATTGAGATAATTATGAGGCTTTTGTCTGTTTTTCAATTAATGTTGTGTATTACATTGTTGATTTTCATATGTTTAATCAACCTTGAATCTCTGTGTAAATCCTGCTTGATTATGTTGTGTGGTATTCCTTATACATTGTTTGATTTTTCTGTTAGCATTTTGTTGAAGATTTTTGCATCTATGTTCATAAGAGATATTCATCTTAATTTTCTTTTCTTATGATGTCTTTGTCTGATTTTGATACCAGGGTAAAATTATTCTTATAAAATGAGTTGGGAAATATGGCTTCCTCTTCAATTTTTTTTTTTGGTAAAGTTTGGTAAGGATGGTTACTAATTATTTAAATTTTTAGAATTCACCAGTGAGCCATATACACCTATACTCTACTTCATTTTTAATTACTAATTGAATGCCTTCATTTGTTATAGATAAATTCAGATTTTTATTTCCTTTTTAGCCAGTAGCTGTAGTTTGTGTCTTCCTGGAAATTATTCAATTGAATCTTGTTTATCTAACTTGTTGAAATGTAATTGTTATAGTATTTCATTATGATCGTTTTTATTTCTGTAGTTGGTAGCAATGTTCTCTATTTTATTTCTGATTTAGAAAAATTTAGTCTTCTGTCTTTTTTTATTGGTTAGTTCATTAAACTTTTGTTAATTTTATTGATCTGAGCAAATAACCAACTTTTGGGTTCACTAATTTTATCCATCTTTTTATGATCTATTCCACTTACTACCACCCTAATACTATTTTCTCTCTTCTGCTAGCATTGGTTTTAGCTTGCTTTATGTTTTAATTCCTGAAGGTATAAAGTTAGAATTTTTATTTGTGATCCTTCCTTTTCTTAATGTAGGCATTTAAAGCTATAAATTTTCTGAAAACTGTTTTAAAAGTATCTCATAAGTCTTGACTTGTGTTTTCATTTTTATTTATCTCAGAGTATTTTCTAATTTCTTTTGAGTTTTTTCTTAGTTCTGTTGGTTATTTAGAAGCGTGTCATTTAACGTCTGCATATTTTTAATTACCAGTTTTTCTTCTAATATTGATTTCAAATTTCATTTCATTGTCCTTGAAGAACACTGTTTGTTTCTTTTTCAACTTTTATATTAGAATCGGGGGTATATGAGCAGGTTTGTTACAAAGGTATATTGAGTAATGCTGTAGTTTGGGGTATGACTGAACCTGTCACCCAGTAATGATCATGGTGAGACGAGTTGGCTAGCTTACCTTAGGTAGACAGCAGGGGAAGGATCTCCCGAGAGCCTCCGACGAATGGGTCAGTGCCTCATTCCCACATAACATAAAAAGCAGCCTGGGAAAGAAAATCAAACTGCAGGCACCAATAAGAGAACTAGCACAGGGGGTTCTGCCTCGAGACATGCCCATGGCTGCACAGATAGAAGAACCTCCAGCCCTTCAGATAAAAACTTGTGGCCGGGCGCGGTGGCTCACGCCTGTAATTCCAGCACTTTGGGAGACCGAGGCGGACGGATTAAGAGGTCAGGAGATCGAGACCATCCTGGCTAAGACTGTGAAACCCCGTCTCTACTAAAAATACAAAAAATTAGCCGGGCCTGATGGCGGGCTCCTGTAGTCCCAGCTACTCGGGAGGCTGAGGCAGGAGAACGGCGTGAACCCAGGAGGCGGAGCTTGCAGTGAGTGGAGATTGCATCACTGCACTCCAGCCTGGGCGACAGAGTGAGACTCCATCTCAAAAAAATAAATTAATTAATTAAAAAAAAAAACTTGCACAAACCTCCAGTTCAATCAGATAAGGGAACAAGCCCTGATATATAAATGCCTTTGTCCTTTGTATAATCTGCGGGCTCCCAGGAAAACGTTTCTTCTTCATCTGTGGGTATGAATGCAGTGGGCTCCAGTGGGTTCCGGTGTGCACTTTCCTTTCCTTTTTGGATTGTGAGCCCAGCCTCTATGAATAATCACTTCAGCCCCTGATTGATCCCTGGCCAAGGTCCCCGGCCAACCTTTCTGATTGGTCCTCCTGGGCTAAGCTTTCTGATTGGTCCCCCGTCAAGGCCCTCGGCCAAGCTGAGTCGCATGTTCTCCAAGACAGCCCACAGACTAAATACAGTCATTCCCTTTCCCAGTCCGTAAAAACCCTGGATCCCTGCCTCATATGGGGGCAACCCATTTGTGCCCTCCTCTCTGCTGGCAGAGAGCTTTCTTCTTTTGCTTATTAAACTTTCACTCCAACCTCACCCTAGTGTCCACACTTCTTTATCATCTTGGATGTGAGACAAAGAACTCTGGGTATTTTCTCAGACCACCAGAGCCTGCTACATCTTGGTGCATTGGTGAGACTACAACAATAGTAACCAATAGGTAGTTTTTAAGCCCTTGACCCCCTCCTTCTCTCACCTCTCTAGTAGTGCCAGTGTCTGTGGTTCTCATTTTTATGTTCATATGTACCCAATATTGAGCACCCACTTATAAGTGAGAATATAAATTATTTGGTTAATTTGCTTAGAATAATAGCTGAATCCATGTTGCTGCAAAGGACATGGTTTCATTCTTTCGTATGGCTGCATAGTATTCCATGGTGCATATGTACCACATTTTCTTTAATCCACCATTGATGGGCATTTAGGTTGACTCCATGTCTTGGTTATAGTAAATAGTGCTGCAGTAAACATACTAGTGCATGTAGCTTATTTGTTTTTTTAGAATGATTGACTTTTTGGGGAAGGTATTTGTACCATAATGGAATTGCTTAATGGAATGGTAGTTCTGTTTTAAATTATTTGAGAAATCTCAAAACTGCTTTCCATAGTGGCTGAATTAATTTACACCCTCATTAACAGTGTATAATGGAAATTTTCTCTATAGCCTTGCCAACATCTGTTACTTTTTAACTTGTTAATAATAGCCATTCTGACTGGTGTAAGGTGCTTTTTATTTACATCCCTCTGATAACTAGTGATGATGAGCATTTTTTGAAATATTTGTGAGCTGTTCATAAGTCTTCATTTGGGGAGTGCCTGTTCATGTCCTTTGTCCACTTTTAATGGTTTTATTTAGTTTTGCTTAAGATCCTTATAGATTCTGGATGTTAGGTCTTTGTCAGATGCATAGTTTGCAAATATTTTCTCCCATTCTGTAGGTTGTCTGTTTCATCTGTTGATAGTTTCTTTCACTGTGCAGTAGCTGTTTATTTTAATTAGGTCTGGCTTGTCAATTTTTGTCAAAGATCAGTTGGTTGTAGGTATGCGGCTTTGTTGCTAGGTTCTCTATTCTGTTCCATTGATCTATGTTGTCTGTTTTGGTGCTAGTACCATGCTGTTTTAATTACTGTAGTACTGTAGTATAATTTAACATCAAGTAATGTAATGCCTCCAAATACATTCTCTAGTAGTAGCCTTTTAGTTTAATCAGGTCTCACTCGTCAATTTTTGTTTTTATTGCAATTGCTTTTTGGGGACTTAGCCATAAACTCTTTGGCAAAGTCCATATAAAAATGGGTATTTCCTAGGTTTTCTTCTAGGATTTGTGTAGTTCGACGTCTTACATTTAAGTCTTTCATCCATTTTGAGTTAGTTTTTGTATATGGTAGTAGGTACGGGTCCAGTTTCATTCTCGTGCATAAGGATAGCCAGTTATCTCAGTACTATTTTTTGAAAAAGAAATTTTTTTCTCAATGTATATTTTTGTCAACTTTGTCAAAGATCAATTGGTTTTAGGTATGTGGCTTTATTGTTGGGTTCTCTGTTCTGTTCCATTAGTCTATGTGTCTGTTTTTGTACCAGTACCATGCTGTTTTAATTACCATAGTCTCCTAGTATAATTTGACATTAGGTAATGTGATGCTTCTGAACATGTTCTTTTTGCTCAAGATTAATTTGGCTTTTAGGGCTTTTTATGGTTCCATATTAAGTTTAGGAATTTTTTTTCTAATTCAGTGGAAAATGACTGGTAATTTAATAGAAATTACATTGAATCTGTAGAATGCTGTAAGCAGTACAGTCATTTTAATGATATTAATTCTTCCAATCCGTGAACATGGGATATTTTTTCATTTGTTTGGGTCATGTATAATATTACTTCTATCATCAGTGTTTTGTAGTTGACCTTGGAGAGATCTTTAATTCTTTTGTTAGATTGTTAGATGTATTATTAACTTTTTTTTCATGTGGCTATTGTAAATGGGATTGAGTTATTGATTTTGTTTTATATTGAATATTATTGGGGTATAGAAAAGTTACTGCTTTTTGTATGGTGATTTTGTATCCTGAAAGTTTACTGAAGTAATATATCAAATCTAGGATCCTTTGGAGTTGTCTTTAGGATTATCTAGTTATACCAGGTCATGAGCAAACAAAAATAACTTGACTTATTGTTTTTCAATTTAGATACCTTTTATTTCTTTCTCCTTGCTTAATTGCTCTGGCTAGGACTTCCAGTACTATATTGAATAGGAGTGATGAAAGTGGACATCCTTATCCAGTTTGGTTTCTGGGAAAATGCATTTAATTTTTCCTCGTTTATTATATTTGCTGTGGTATTGGGCCATTCTTGCATTGGTCTAAAGAAATATCTGAGGCTGAATAATTTATAAAGAAAAAAGTTTAATTGGCTCATTGTTCTGCAGGCTTATAGGAAGCATGATGCTGGCATCTGCTTGGATTCTGGGGAGGGCTCAGGAAGTTTACAATCATGTTGAAAGGTGAAAGGAGACCAGGCATGTCAGTGGTCAGAGCAGAATTAAGGAAGAGAGAGTGGCGGGGGAGGGGTGAGTTGCCACACACTTTTAAATGACCAGATCTCACAAGAACTCACCTATCATGTTGACAGCACCAAGCCATGAGGAATCCATCCCCATGATTTAAACATTTCCCACCACTCCCCACCTCCAGTATTGGGAATTAAAATTCAACCTGAGGTTTAGGCAGGTAAAAATATCCAAACTACATTACTGTGAGTTTGTTGTATATGGCTCGTATTGTTTTGAGATATGTTTCTTCAATGACTAGTTTGTTGTGGGATTTTATAATGAAGTGATATTGAATATTATCACACAATTTTTTGCATCTAGATGATCATATTATTTCTTGTTTTAATTTTGTGTTTGTGGTCAATCATGCCTATTGATTTGCATATGTTGAACGATCTTTGTGTCCCTGGAATAAAACCCATTCAATTGTGATGAGTTATATATTTGACGTGCTGTTGGATTCAGTTTGCTAGTATTTTGTTGAGGGTTTATCATTAAAAATTCTGTCACGTAGATTTCTTTTTTGTTGTGTTCTTTTCTGGCTTTGGAATCAGGGTGATATTGGCTTCATTGAATGATTTTTAGAAGATTCTCTCCTCCTCAATTTTTTGAAACCATTTCAGTGGGATTAATGTCAATTTTTCTTCATACGTCTGCTAGAATTCAGTTGTAAATACATGTGGTCCTGGGCTCTTTTTGTTGGGTAATATTTTATTACTGATTCAATCTCACTACTTGTTATTGGTCTGGTTGAAATTTCTATTTCTTCCTGGTTCAATTTTGGGTGGTTATATGTTTCCACGAATTTATCCATTCTTCTAGATTTTTCTAATTTGTGACTATAGAGCTATCCATAGTAGTCTGATAATGTTTTGTACTTTTGTGGTATGGATTGGAATATGCTTTTTTGATTTAAATTTTATTTATATCAAAATGACACACATATAAATTTATGAACTTTATTTTTTAATTAAAAAAATTTTTTTCTTTCTTTTTTTATTTTACTTTAAGTTCTAGGGTACATGTGCACAACGTGCAGGTTTGTTACATATGTATACATGTGCCATGTTGGTGTGCTGCACCCATTAACTCGTCATTTACATTACGTATATCTCCTAATGCTATCCCTCCCCTGTCCCCTACCCCACAACAGACCCCAGAGTGTGATGTTCCCCTTCCTGTGTCCAAGTGTTCTCATTGTTCAGTTCCCACCTATGAGTGAGAACATGCAGTTTTTGTTTTTTCTCACTGTGATAGTTTGATGAAAATGATGGTTTCCAGCTTCATCCATGTCTCTACAAAGGACATGAACTCATCCTTTTTTATGGCTGCATAGTATTCCATGGTGTATATATGCCACATTTTCTTAATGCAGTCTATCATTGTTGGACATTTCGGTTGGTTCCAAGTCTTTGCTATTGTGAATAGTGCCACAATAAACATACGTATCCATGCGTCTTTATAGCAGCATGATTTATAAAACTTTGGGTATATACCCAGTAATGGGATGGCTGGGTCAAATGGTATTTCTAGTTCTAGATCCTTGAGGAATTGCCACACTGACTTCCACAATGGTTGGACTAGTTTACAGTTCCACCAACAGTGTAAAAGTGTTCCTATTTCTCCACATCCTCTCCAGCACCTGTTGTTTCCTGATCTTTTAATGATCTCCATTCTAACTGGTGTGAGATGGTATCTCATTGTGGTTTTGATTTGCATTTCTCTGATGGCCAGTGATGATGAGCATTTTTTTAATGTGTCTTTCGGCTGCATAAATGTCTTCTTTTTTTAAATTTTTCAATTATTTATTTATTTATTTTTATTATTTTTTTATTTTTATTGTTATATTTTAAGTTTTAGGGTACATGTACACAATGTGCAGGTTAGTTACATATGTATACATGTGACATGCTGGTGTGCTGCACCCATTAACTTGTCATTTAGCATTAGGTATATCTCCTAATGCTATTCCTCCCCCGTCCCCCCACCCCACAACAGTCCCCAGAGTGTGATGTTCCCCTTCTTGTGTCCATGTGTTCTCATTGTTCAATTCCCATCTATGAGTGAGAACATGCGGTGTTTGGTTTTTTGTTCTCGTGATAGTTTACTGAGAATGATGATTTTCAATTTCATCCATGTCTCTACAAAGGACATGATCTCATCATTTTTCATGGCTGCATAGTATTCCATGGTGTATATGTGTCACATTTTCTTAATCCAGTCTATCATTGTTGGACATTTGGGTTGGTTCCAAGTCTTTGCTATTGTGAATAGTGCTGCAATAAACATACGTGTGCATGTGTCTTTATAGCAGCATGATTTATAGTCCTTTGGGTATATACCCAGTAATGGGATGGCTGGGTCAAATGGTATTTCTAGTTCTAGATCCCTGAGGAATCGCCACACTGACTTCCACAATGGTTGAACTAGTTTACAATCCCACCAACAGTGCAAAAGTGTTCCTATTTCTCCACATCCTCTCCAGCACCTGTTGTTTCCTGACTTTTTAATGATTACCATTCTAACTGGTGTGAGATGATATCTCATTCTGGTTTTGAGTTGCATTTCTCTGATGGCCAGTGACGATGAGCATTTTTTCATGTGTCTTTTGGCTGCATAAATGTCTTCTTTTGAGAAGTGTCTATTCATATCCTTTGCCCACTTTTTGATGGGGTTGTTTGTTTTCTTCTTGTAAATTTGTTTGACTTCATTGTAGATTCTGGATATTAACCCTTTGTCAGATGAGTAGATTGCAAAAATTTTCTCCCATTCTGTAGGCTGCCTGTTCACTCCGATGGTAGTTTCTTTTGCTGTGCAGAAGCTCTTTAGTTTAATTAGATCCCATTTGTCAATTTTGGCTTTTGTTGCCATTGCTTTTGGTGATTTAGACATGAAGTCCTTGCCCATGCCTATGTCCTGAATGGTATTGCCTAGGTTTTCTTCTAGGGTTTTTATGGTTTTAGGTCTAACGTTTAAGTCTTTAATCCATCTTGAATTGATTTTTGTATAAGGTGTAAGGAAGGGATCCAGTTTCAGCTTTCTACATATGGTTAGCCAGTTTTCCCAGCACCGTTTATTAAATAGGGAATCCTTTCCCCCTTGCTTGTTTTTGTCAGGTTGGTCAAAGATCAGATAGTTGTAGATGTGTGGCATTATTTCTGAGGGCTCCATTCTATTCCATTGTTCTATAACTCTGTTTTGGTACCAGTCCCATGCTGTTTTGGTTACTGTAGCCTTGTAGTATTTTTTGAAGTCAGGTGGCTTGATGCCTCCAGCTTTGTTCTTTTGGCTTAGGATTGACTTGGGAATGCTGGCTCTTTTGTGGTTCCATATGAACTTGAAAGTAGTTTTTTCAAATTCTTTGAATAAAGTCATTGGTAGCTTGATGGTGATGGCATTGAATCTATAAATTACCTTGGGCAGTATGGCCATTTTCACGATATTGATTCTTCCTATCCATGAGCATGGAATGTTCTTCCATTCATTTGTATCCTCTTTTATTTCATTGAGCAGTGGTTTGTAGTTCTCCTTGAAGAGGACCTTCACATCCCTTGTAAGTTGGATTCCTGGGTATTTTATTTTCTTTGTAGCAATTGTGAATGGGAGTTCACTCATGATTTGGCTCTCTGTTTGTCTGTTATTGGTGTATAAGAATGCTTGTGATTTTTGTACATTGATTTTGTATCCTGAGACTTTGCTGAAGTTGCTTATCTGCATAAGGAGATTTTGGGCTGAGACGATGGGGTTTTCTAGAGATACAATCATGTCATCTGCAAACAGGGACAATTTGACTTCCTCTTTTCCTAATTGAATACCCTTCATTTCTTTCTCTTCCCTGATTTCCCTGGCGAGAACTTCCAACACTATGTTGAATAGGAGTGGTGAGAGAGGGCATCCCTGTCTTATGCCAGTTTTCAAAGGGAATGCTTTCAGTTTTTGCCCGTTGAGTATGATGTTAGCTGTGGGTTTGTCATAAATAGCTCTTATTATTTTGAGATACTTCCCTTCAATACCTAATTTATTGAGAGTTTTTAGCATGAAGGGCTGTTGAATTTTGTCAAAGGCCTTTTCTGCATCTATTGAGATAATCATGTGGTTTTTGTTGTTGGTTCTGTTTATATGCTGGATTATGTTTGTTGATTTGCATATGTTGAACAAGCATTGCATCCCAGGGATGAAGCCCACTTGATCATGGTGGATAAGCTTTTGATGTGTTGCTGGATTCTTTTTGCCAGTATTTTATTGAGGATTTTTGCATCGATGTTCATCAGGGATATTGGTCTAAAATTCTCTTTTTTTGTTGTGTCTCTGCCAGGCCTTGGTATCAGGATGATGCTGGCCTCATAAAATGAGTTATGTAGGATTCCCTCTTTTTCTAATGATTGGAATAGTTTTAGAAGGAATGGTACCAGCTCCTCCTTGTACCTCTGGTAGAATTCGGCTGTGAATCCATCTGGTCCTGGACTTTTTTTTGGTTGGTAAGCTATTAATTATTGCCTCAATTTCAGAGCCTGTTATTGGTCTATTCAGGGATTCAACTTCTTCCTGGTTTAGTCTTGGGAAGGTGTATGTGTCCAGGAATTTATCCATTTCTTCAAGATTTTCTAGTTTATTTGCATAGAGGTGTTTATAGTATTCTCTGATGGTAGTTTGTATTTCTGTGGGATCAGTGGTGATATCCCCTTTATCATTTTTTATTGCATTTAATTGGTTCTTCTCTCTTTTCTTCTTTATTAGTCTTGCTAGTGGTCTATCAATTTTGTTGATCTTTTCCAAAAACCAGCTCCTGGGTTCATTGATTTTTTGAAGGGTTTTTTGTGTCTCTATCTCCTTCAGTTCTGCTCTGATCATAGTTATTTCTTGCCTTCTGCTAGCTCTTGAATGTGTTTGCTCTTGCTTCTCTTGTTCTTTTAATTGTGATGTTAGGGTCTCAATTTTAGATATTTCCTGCTTTCTCTTGTGGGCATTATTGCTATAAATTTCCCTCTACACACTGCTTTGAATGTGTCCCAGAGATTCTGGTATGTTGTGTCTTTGTTCTTGTTGGTTTCAAAGAACATCTTTATTTCTGCCTTCATTTCTTTCTGTAGCCAGTAGTGATTCAGGAGCACATTGTTCAGTTTCCATGTAGTTGAGCAGTTTTGAGTGAGTTTCTTAATCCTGAGTTCTAGTGTGATTGCACTGTGGTCTGAGAGACAGTTTGTTATAATTTCTGTTCTTTTACATTTGCTGAGGAGTGCTTTACTTCCAACTAAGTGGTCAATTTTGGAATAAGTGTGGTGTGGTGCTGAGAAGAATGTATATTCTGTTGATTTGTGGTGGAGAGTTCTGTAGATGTCTATTAGGTCCGCTTGGTGCAGAGCTGAGTTCCATTCCTGGATGTCCTTGTTAACTTTCTGTCTCATTGATCTGTCTAATGTTGGCAGTGGGGTGTTACAGTCTCCCATTATTATTGTGTGGGAGTCTAAGTCTCTTTATAGGTCTCTAAGGACTTGCTTTATGAATCTGGGTGCTCTTGTATTGGGTGCATGTATGTTTAGGATAGTTAGCTCTTCTTGTGGAATTGATCCCTTTACCATTATTTAACGGCCTTCTTTGTCTCTTTTGATCTTTGTTGGTTTAAAGTCTGTTTTATCAGAGACTAGCATTGCAACCCCTGCCTTTTTTTTTGTTTTCCATTTGCTTGGTTGATCTTCCTGCATCCCTTTATTTTGAGCCTATGTGTGTCTCTGCACATGAGATGGGTCTCCTGAATACAGCACACTGGTGGGTCTTGACTCTTTACCCAATTTGCCATTCTGTGTCTTTTAATTGGAGCATTTAGTCCATTTACATTTAAGGTTAATATTGTTATGTGTGAATTTGATCCTGTGATTGTGATGTTAGCTGGTTATTTTGCTTGTTAGTTGATGCATTCCTGGATGACCTTGTTAACTTTCTGTCTCGTTAGCATTGATGGTCTTTACAATTTGGCATGCTTTTACAGTGGCTTGTACCAGTTGTTCCTTTCCATGTTTAGTGCTTCCTTCAAGAGCTCTTGTAGGGCAGGCCTGGTGGTGACAAAATCACTCAGCATTTGCTTGTCTGTAAAGGATTTTATTTCTCCTTCACTTATGAAGCTTAGTTTGGCTGGATATGAAATTCTGGCTTGAAAATTCCTTTCTTTAAGAATGTTGAATATTGGCCCCCACTCTCTTCTGGCCTATAGAGTTTCTGCCGAGAGATCAGCTGTTAGTCTGATGGACTTCCCTTTGTGGGTAACCCGACCTTTCTCTCTGGCTGCCCTTAACATTTTTTCCTTCATTTCAACTTTGGTGAATCTGACAATGATGTGTCTTGGAGTTGCTCTTCTTGAGGAGTATCTTTGTGGTGTTCTCTGTATTTCCTGAATTTGAATGTTGGCCTGCCTTGCTAGATTGGTGAAGTTCTCCTGGATAATATCCTGCAGAGTGTTTTCCAACTTGGTTCCATTCTCCCTGTCACTTTCAGGTACACCAATCAGACGTAGATTTGGTCTTTTCACATAGTCCCATATTTCTTGGAGGCTTTGGTCATTTCTTTTTGTTCTTTTTTCTCTAAACTTCTCTTCTGGCTTCATTTCATTCATTTGATCTTCCATCACTGATACCCTTTCTTCCAGTTGATCACATCAGTTACTGAAGCTTGTGCATTCGTCATGTAGTTCTCATGCCATGGTTTTCAGCTCCATCAGGTCCTTTAAGGACTTCTCTGCATTGGTTATTCTAGTTAGCCATTCGTCTAATCTTTTTTCAAGTTTTTAAACTTCTTTGCCATGGTTTTGAACCTCCTGCTTTAGCTCAGAGAAGTTTGATCTTCTGAAGCCTTCTTCTCTCACCTCATCAAAGTCATTCTCCATCCAGCTTTGTTCCATTGCTGGTGAGGAGCTTCATTCCTTTGGAAGAGGAGAGGCACTCTAATTTTTAGAATTTTCAGCTTTTCTGCTCTGTTTTTTCCCCATCTTTGTGGTTTTATCTACCTTTGTTCTTTGATGATGGTGATGGACAGATTGGGTTTTGGTGTGGATGTCCTTTCTGTTTGTTAGTTTTTCTTCTAACAATCAGGACCCTCAGCTGCAGGTCTGTTGGAGTTTGCTGGAGGTCCACTCCAGACCCTGTTTGCCTGGGTATCAGCAGCAGAGGCTGCAGAACAGTGGATATTGGTGAACAGCAAATGTTGCTGCTTGATTGTTCCTCTGGAAATTTCGTTTCAGAGGGGTACCCAGCTGTGTAAGGTGTCAGTCTGCCCCTACTGGGGGGTGCCTCCCAGTTAGGCTGCTCGGGGGCCAGAGACCCACTTGAGGAGGCAGTCTGTGTGTTCTCAGATCTCAAGCTGCGTGTTGGGATAACCACTACTCTCTTCCAAGCTGTCAGACAGGGACATTTAATTCTGCAGAGGTTTCTGCTGCCTTTTGTTCGTCTATGCCCTGCCCCCAGAGGTGGAGTCTACAGAGGCAGGCAGGCCTCCTTGAGCTGTGGTGGGCTCCACCCAGTTCAAGCTTTCTGTCCAGTTTGTTTACCTACTTAAGCTTCAGCAATGGCAGGCGCCCCTCCCCCAGCCTTGCTGCCATCTTGCAGTTTGATCTCAGACTGCTGTGCTAGCAATGAGCGAGGCTCCGTGGGCATAGGACCCTCTGAGCCAGGTGCGGGATATAATCTCCTTGTGTGCCTTTTGCTAAGACCATTGGAAAAGTGCAGTATTAGGGTGGGAGTGACCCGATTTTCCAGGTACCATCTGTCACCCCTTTCCTTGGCTAGGAAAGTGAATTCCCTGACCCCTTGCGCTTCCTGGGTGAGGCGATGCCTCACCTTGCTGCGGCTCATGCTTGGTGCACTGCACCCACTGTTCTGCACCCACTGTCCTGCACCCACTATCAGACAAACCCCAGTGAGATGAACCCAGTACCTCAGTTGGAAATGCAGAAATCATCTGTCTTCTGCATCACTCACGCTGGGAGCTGTAGACTGGAGCTGTTCCTATTCAGCCATCTTGGAACCCCTGGAATATACTTTTTTATTGCTGATTGTGTTTATTTGCATCTTCTCCCTTTTATGGTTAATTTAGCTACCAGTCTATCAATTTAATATCTTTTGTTCTGCAGTCCAAATTACATCCAGTATTTTTTGGTTGATTTTCTGCCTTGATGATCTGTCTAGCACTATTGGTGCAGTGTTAAAGTCACACACTATAATTAGTTTATCATCTGTCTCTTTTCTTAGATCTAGTAGTATTTGTTTTATGAATCTAGGTGATCCAGTGCTGAGCACACATATATTTAGGATTGTTACATTTTCTTGTTACACTGATTCCTTTTTCATTATATAAAGACCTTCTTTGTCTTTTCGTTACTATTGTTGATTTAAAGCACTTTTTTTAATTTTTTTACTTTTTTAAATTATACTTTAAGTTCTGGGTCACATGTACATAATGTGCAGGTTTGTTACATAGGTGCCATGGTGGTTTGCTGCACCCATCAACCCGTAACCTATATTAGGTATTTCTCCTCATGTTATCCCTCCCCTAGGCCCCTACCCCCTGACAGGCCCCAATATATGATGTTCCCCTCCCTATATCCATGTGTTCTCATTGTTCAACTCCCACTTGTGAGTGAGAACATGCAGTGTTTCATTTTCTGTTCTTGTGATAGTTTGCTGAGAATGATGGTTTCCAGCTACATCCATGTCCCTGCAAAGGACATGAATTCATCGTTGTTTACGGCTGCACAGTATTCCATGGTGGATATAAGCCACATTTTCTTTATCCAGTCTATTATTGATGGACATTTGGATTGTTTCCAAGTCTTTGCTATTGTGAATAGTGCCACAATAAGCATATGTGTGCATGTGTCTTTATAGTAGAATGATTTATAATCCTTTGGGTATATACCCAGTAATGGGATTGCTGGGTCAAATGGTATTTCTAGCTCTGGATGCTTGAGGAATCGCCACACTGTCTTCCACAATGGTTGAACTAATTTACACTTCCACCAACAGTGTGAGTGTAAAAGCATCCCTATTTCTCCACATCCTCTCCAGCATCTGTTTCCTGACTTTTTAATGATTGCCATTCTAACTGGCATGAGATGGTATCTCATTGTGGTTTTGATTTGCATTTATCTAATGACCAGTGATGATAAGCATTTTTTCATGTTTGTTGGCTGCATAATCTACTTTTGAGAAGTGTCTGTTCATATCCTTTGCCCACTTTTTGATGGGGCTGTTTGTTTTTTTCTTGTAAATTTGTTTAAATTCTTTGTAGATTCTGGATATTAGCCCTTTGTCAGATGGATAGATTGCAAAAATTTTCTCCCATTCTGTAGGCTGTTCACTCTGATGATAGTTTCTTTTGCTGTGCAGAAGCTATTTAGTTTCATTACATCCCATTTTTCTGTTATGGCCTTTGTTGTCATTGCTTTTGATGTTTTACACATGAAGTCTTTGCCCATGCTTATGTCCTGAATGGTATTGCTCAAGTTTTCCTCTAGGATGTTTTATATAAATGCAACTACTCCTGCTTTCTTTTGTTTTTCATTTGCATGGAAGATATTTTTCCACTCTTTTAGCATGAGTCTGTAACTGTCTTTACCAGTTAAGTTGGTTTCTTGCAGGCAGCATGTAATTGGATCCTACTTTTTTATCCATACTGCCATACTGCCAATCTGTATCTTTTAAGTGGGGATATTTAGTTCATTTATCTTCAAGATTAATATAGGTGTGTAAGCTTTTGTTCTTGTCATAATCTCCTAGTTACTTCGTGGTATCAATTCTGTAATTGTTTTAGAAGATCTGTGAATTTTATACTTTTGTGTGTTGATATGATGGTGCATATCAACATTTTATTTTCATATTTAGATCTTCTTTGAGCATTTCTTGTAGTCAGTCTAGTAGTGACAAATTTCCTTTGCATTTGATTTTCTGGGAAAAGACTTTGTTTCTTCTTTATGCATAAAGCTTAGTAACGAAGGAAACAAAATTTTTGTCTGACAGTTGTTTTGTTTAAGAAGAATGAAAATAGAACTGCAATCTCTTCTGGCTTTTAAGATTTCTGCTGAGAAGTCCATTGTTAGTCTGATGGAATTTCCTTTATAAGTGATTAGACACTTTTGTTTTGCTGGTCTTAGGATTTTTTTCTTTACATTGACTTTAGATAATCTGATAACCATATGCCTTAGTGAAATCTATCTTGAAGTGTGTCTTTCTGGAGCTCTCTGAGCTTCTGTTACCAAAATGTCCATATCTCTGGAAAGACTATAGATGTTTTCCTGTATTATTTCATCGAATGAGCTTTCCAAAGTTTTTACTTTATTTCTTCTTCTCCCAAGGAATACTTATAACTTGTAGGCTTGGGCATTTTACATAATTCTATATTTCTGAAAGCCTTTGTTTATTTTTAATTTGTTTTCATTATTTTTTCTTACTGAGTTAATTTGAAAGACCTGCCTTAAGCCCTGATTTTTTTCTTCTGCTTTGTCTAGTCAATTGTTAAAGCTTTTAATAGTATTTTGTTTCCTTTAATTTTTTTTTATTTTCAGAAGTTCTGTTAAATATATATATAGGTTTGTGTGTGTGTGTCTGTGTGTATCTTTTCAGTGAATTTTTCCTTCATATCCTGAAGTGCTTTTCTCATTTCTGTTTTTTCAAACTTTCTCTTGGATATCATAGAGCTTTCTTAAGATCAATATTTTAATTTTGTTCTGATATTTCAAAGATTTCATTTTGTTTAAAATTTTTTCTAAAAATCTTATGTGATCCATTGTTGGTGTTGCAACACTCTGTGTTTTCTTACTTCCAGAATCGTTTCCGGGGTTCCTTTTCATCAGTCTGATTATTATTTTTGAATTACTTTCTTTTTGATAGTATTTTTTTTCCATGAGCATGTAAGTTTAATGTATGTCATGTAGGTCCTTTTGTCTTTGGTTCTGGGTTCTTTCATTGACAAGGGTCTGCATGAGTTTCTTGGTTATAGATAGCTTTTGTGTGGTTTCTTTAATAAATGTTGGTTACAGTAGTAATGTACTGGGTGTGGGAGCAGGCCCACTGCCTCTGGTGGGGCTGGTATAGTGGAGATCTCAGGAAGCTTATCTCATTCCCCAGTGCATCCCCCATTGCACTTCTATCAGGAGTTTGCATCGAATTATGCATTTCAACCTCCATACCAGTAGGTGGTGCTTGTGGGTAAGAACCAACCAAACACTGTGCAATAGTGTCAGCAGATGTTGTAATGGGCTTTGCAGGTGGACCTCCTGGCCAGTAAATGACATTTGCTGGAGAGAAGCAGTTGCAGTGGTGGCAGTGAGATTTTTGGAACTTTTCTAGCAAGGAGAACTCCTCTGGTTTACGAGGTGATGTACGGGGCTGTGGAACTCTTAGGAGTCTCTGTCCTAGTTTTTGCCATTGAGACAGGTAGGGGAAGAAAAGGCTGGGTAGGTCTGGGTTGGGCAAGCCTGTGCCCAGGCTCCTTAACAGCAGCTGCAAGCACAGACCCTAATGGGTTTCCAGAGCATTTATCAAGCCACTGTAACAAATTTCCAGGGAGGGGTGGAAGCATCTTTTGCATGCCAAAGAGCCCACACAGAGACAGATGGGTTGCCCAGTTTCTACTGTCCAGCAGTTGATATTGAGACTCTCCTACCTCTCATGCTTCTGACCAAGTGGGTTTCCAACCAGTGTCTGGCTACTGGTAGCTGGCCAAAACTTTTCACACAGACCGAAGTGGTCTAAATTAGAGATTGTGAAAGCACCCCAGGCTGCAAAACTCTTGCCCTGGGCAGAAATTGCAGCTCCTAGGCCACACCCTTCCTGGTCCAGTTTAGTGAAGAATGTGGTCCTCAGCTCCTTTGCCACAGCATAAACTCATGCTATACTCTCTTCTTAGTTCTGACTATGGTGGGTCCTCCTCCACTAGAGATTGGATCACAAATCTTATTCGTAGGACCCTGGATGGCATGCCCAATTATCGGAGGGATGGGATCATGTCAGTGAAGTTGTCCACAGGTCTACTGGGTTCAGGAGGTGGCTGTGATAGAAAGGGGCAGGCTGGTCCCAGGCCACCTATGGAATATTCAGGTAGGGCAATAATGGTTGCATTCTGGGCCTTCCACAAGGAAGAGCAGGCCCCTCTCAGAACGAACATCTAGGCAAACAACTTTGAGGGAGGTAGGCAGGTGTGAGGCATGTGGTTTGTTTGCATGTTGGTCTCTCAGTAGCCTGCAGTAGCAGTAGCAGTATTTATACTTGGGGTGCATGAAAGTGCTCATCCTCATTTTTCCCTCCCTGGCACAGTAGCTGATGGCAGCAGCAGCATCCCCAGGGCAGGATGCAGAGCTTTTGGAGATGGGCTCTCAGCATATCAATTTATTATTAGAATTTGAGGTGATATATAGAAAATGCCTATCAAGGTGTATGTCACATACTGAGTACTCAATAAACAGTAGCAGCATACTGTTTGAAATAATGGAATCCAATGAGTCATGGAATCAAAGAATCTCAACATTTTGAGATATTTTAGCTGCCATCTGGCATGGCAGTTCTAGTTTTCCAGTGTCACAATAAGTAAGACTAAAACATTAACATTTTGAGAACAAGCACATGTATACTTTGGAGATAATTTGGGTTTAGTTCCAACACGTTGCAATAAAGTGACTATTGCAATAAAACAAGTCACACAATTATTTCAGTTTTCCAGTACATATAAAAGTTATATTTACTCCACATCATAGTGTATTAAGTGTACAGTAGCACTATGTCTAAAAAGTACATATATTAATTTTTAAAATACTGCTGCAAAAACTAATGATCATCTGAGACTTCAGTGAGTGATAATCTTTTACTGGAACTTTGCCTTAATGTTGATGACTGCTGACTGATGAGCCTGGTGGTTCCTAGAGATTGAGTTGCCTGTGGCAATTCCTGAAAATAAGACAATTAAGTTTATCAGGTGGATTGAGTCTTCCTTGCATTGAATATTTCATTTTTTATGTTTTATAATTTAACTTTTAAGTTCATGAATACATGTGCAGATTTTTTATATACATAAACTAAAGTCATGAGCGTTTGTTGTACAGATTATTTTATCACCCAGGTATTAAGCCAAGTAGCCATTAGTTATTTTTCCTGATCCTCTCCCTCCTCCCAGCCTCCACTTTCCAGTATGCCCCAGTGTCTGTTGTTTCCCTCTATATTTTCACATGTTCTTGTCATTTAGCTCCCACTTATAAGTGAAAACATGTAGTACTTGGTTTTCTATTTCTGCATTATTTTGCTGAGGATAATGACCTCCAGCTCCATCCATGTTCCTGCAAAAGACATGATATCATTATTTTTTATGGCTGCATAGTATTCCATGGTGTACATGTACCACATTTTCATTATTCAGTCAACCACTGATGGGCATATAGGTTGATTCCATGTCTTTGCTATTGTAAATAGTTCTGCAATAAACATACGCATGTATGTGCCTTTATGATGAAATAATTTGTATTCCTTTGGTTATATACCCAGTACTGCAATTGATGGGTCAAATGGTATTTCTGTTTTTAGGTCTTTGAGGAATCATCACATTGTCTTCCACAATGGTTGAACTAATTTACACTCCCACCAACAGTGTGTAAGAGTACCTTTTTCTCTGCAGCCTCCCCAGCATCTGTTTTTTTGGAATTTTTAGTAATAGCCATTCTGACAGGTGTGAGATGGTATCTCAGTGTGGTTTTGGTTTGCATTTCTCTAATGATCAGTCATGTTGAGCTTTTTTTATGCTTGTTGGATGCACATATGTCTTGTTTTGCAAACTGTCTATATCCTTGCTCACTTTTTAATGGGGTTTTATTTATTTATTTATGTTTTGTAAATTGGTTTACGTTCCTTATAGATGATGGATACTAGACCTTTGTCAGATGCATACTTTGCAAACATTTTCTCCCATTCTGTAGGCTGTCTGTTCACTCTGTTGATAGTTTCCTTTGCTATGCAGAAATTCTTTTGTTTAATTAGTTCACATTTGTCAATTTTTGCTTTCATTGCAATGGCTTTTAGTGTCTTTGTCATTAAATCTTTGCCTGTTTCTATGTCCAGAATGGTATTGCCTAGTTGGTCTTCTAGGGATTTTATAGTTTTGGGTTTTATATCTTCTGCATATAGCTAGCTAGTTATCATAGCACCATTTATTGAATAGACCCCCATTGCTTGTTTTTGTCAGGTTTGCCAAAGATCAGATAGTTGAAGACGTGTGGCCTTATTTCTTGGCTCTCTATTCTGTTCCATTAGTCTATGTTTCTGTTTTTGTACCAGCACCATGCTGTTTTGGTTAGTGTAGACCTGTAGAATAGTTTAAAATTGGGTAGTGTGATTCCTCTGGCATTGTTCTTTTTGTTTATGATTGCCTTGGCTATTTGGGTTATTTTTTAGTTCTATATGAATTTTAAAATTGTTTTTTTTCTAGTTCTGTGAAAAAAGTCAATGGTTGTTTCATAGGAATAGTATTTAATCTATAATTTGCTTTGGGCAGTATGGCCATTTGAAGGATATTGATTCTTCCTATACATGAACATGTTACGTTTTTCCATTTGTTTGTGTCATTTCTGGTTCCTTTGAGCAGTGTTTTGTAGTTCTTCTTGTAGAGATCTTTTACCTCTCTGGTTAGCTGTATTCCTAGGTATTTTGTTCTTTTGGTGGCAATTGTGAATGGGATTGCCTTTCTGATTTGGCTCTCAGCTTGACTATTGTTGATGTATAGAAATGTTAGTGATTTTTGCACATTTATTTTGAATCTTGATTCTTTACTGAAGTTGTTTATCAGCTTAAGAAGATTTTGAGCTAAGACTATGGTGTTTTCTAGATATAGGATTATGTCGTCTGCAAACAAGGATAAGTTGACTTTTTGTCTTCCTACTTGGATGCCATTTATTTATTTATTTATTCATTTATTTTTCTGTTTCCTGATTGCTCTGGCCAAGACTTCCAATATTATGTTGATTACGAGTGGTGAGAGAGGGTATCATTGTCTTGTGCCGGTTTTGAATGCTTTTAGTTTTGCCCATTCATTATGATGTCGGCTGTGAGTTTGTCATCCATGGCTCTTATTATTTTGAGATATGTTCCTTCGATACTTAGTTTATTGAATGTTTCTAACATGAAACCTGTTGAGTTTTATTGAAAGCCTTTTCTGCATCTATTGAGACAATCATGTGGTTTTTACCTTTAGTTTTGTTTATGTGATGAATCACATTTATTGATTTGTGTATGTTGAATCACCCTTGTGTCCCAGGGATAAAGCCTACTTTATCATGGTGGATAAACTTTTTTGTATGCTACTGAATTCGGTTTGCCAGTATTTGTTGAACATTTTCACATTGATGTTCATCAAGGACATTGGCCTAAAGTTTTCTCTTTTTTGTGTGTCTCTGCCAGGTTTTTTGTATCAGGATGATGCTGTCCTTATAGAACGAGTTAGGGAGGAGTTCCTTTTTCTCATTTTTTGGAATCGTTTCAGCATGAATTGTACCAGCTCTTTTTTGTACAGCTGTTAGAATTTATCTTTGAATCTGTTTGGCCCTGGGCCTTTTTTGATTGGTAGGCTGTTTGTTACTAACTCAGTTTTAGAACTTATTATTGGTCTGTTCAGGGATTTGATTTCTTTCTGCTTTAGTCTTGGGAGGCTGTGTCCAGGAATTTATCCATTTCTTCTAGATTTTCTGGTTTATGTGCACAGAGGTTTTCATAATATTCTCTGATGGCAATTTTTCATTCTATGGCTATATTTCTGTGGTGTCAGTGCTAACATTTGCCTTGTCATTTTTGACTGTGTTTATTTACATTTACTTTTTATTAGTCCAATTAGTGGTATATCTATTTAATTATTTTTAAGCTACTGATTTTGTTGATATTTGAATTGATTTTCATGTCTCAATCTCCTTTAGTTCATCTCTACTTTTTTTTTTTTTTTGAGATGGAGTCTTGCTCTGTTACCCAGGCTAGAGTGCAGTGGCATGATCTTGGCTCACTGCAACCTCCACCTCCCAGGTTGAAGCAATTCTACCTCAGCCTCCCAAGTAGCTGGAATTACAGGCACCTGACACCATGCCTGTCCTTTTTTTTTGGGGGGGTGGGGTTTAGTAGAGACGGGGTTTTATGATGTTGGCCAGGCTGGTCTCTAACTCCTGACCTCAAATGATCCAACCACCTTAACCTCCCAAAATGCTGGGATTACAGGCATGAGACACCACGCCCAGCCCTTAAGCTCTAATTTTGATTATTTCTAGTCTTCTTCTAGATTTAGTATTGGTTTTCTCTTGGTTCTCTAGTTCTTTTAGTTGTGATGTTAGGTTGTTAAATTGAGAGTTTTCTAACTCTTCGATGTGGGCGTTTAGTGCTATAATTTCTCTCTTAGCACTGCCTTAGCTGTGTCTCAGAGGTCCTGACACGTTGTATCTTTGTTGTCATTATTTATATAACTTTTTGATTTCTGCCTTAATTTTATTATTTATCCAAAAGTGACTCAGGAGCAGATTATTTAATTGCCATGTAACTGTATAATTTTGAGTGAATTTCATAGTCTTGATGTCTAATTTAATTGTGCAGATTTCTGAGAGATTATTTGTTATGATTTTAGTTCTTTTGCATTTTCTGCAGTTTTTTACTTCCAATTATGTGATGGATTTTAGGTTATGTGCCATGTGTCAATGAGAAGAATGTACATTATGTTGATTTTAGGTACAGGGTTCTGTAGATGTCTATAAGTTTCATTTGATGCAGTGCTGAGTTCCCAACATCAATATGTTAATTTTCTTTATCAATGATGTGTCAAATGTTTTTAGAAAGGTGGTAAAGTCTCCCAGCGTTATTTTTTTGGAGTCTAAGTCTCATTGAAAGTCTCTAAGAACTTGCTTTATAAATCTGGATGTTTCTGTGTTTAGTGCATATATATTTAGGATAGTTAGACCTTCTTGTTGAACCAAATGCTTTACCATTATGTAATGTCATTCTTTGTCTTCTTTTATTTTTGTTGGTTTAAAGTCTGTTTTGTATGAAACTAGGATTGCAATCCCTGCTTTTCTCTGTTTTCCATTTGCTTGATAGGTTTTTCTTCACCTCTTTATTTAAAGCCTATGTGTGTCATTGCCATTGAGACTGGTCTCCTGAAGACAGCAAACCAATGGGTCTTGGTTCTTTATCAAGCTTGCCACTCTGTGTCTTTTAATTGGGATATTTAGCCCCTTTATATTCAGGGTTAGTATTGATATGTGTGGATTTCATCCTTTCATTATGATGGTAGATGGTTATTTTGCCAACTTGTTTATGTGGATGCTTTATAGGGTCACTGGCATGTGTACTTCCATGTGTATTTGTAGTGATTGGTAACAGTCTTTTCTTTCCATATTTAATGCTTCCTTCAGGAGCGCTTATAAGGCAGGGCTGCTGGTAAGGAATTCCCTCAACATTTACTTTTCTGAAAAAGAGCTTATTTCTCTTTTTCATAGGAAGCTTAGTTGTACTGAATATATTTTGTGTTGGAATTTCTTTACTTAAAAATGTTCCATATTGGCCCTTAATCTCTTCTGGCTTGTAGAGTTTCTGGTGAGAGGTCTGCTCTTAGTCTGATGAGCTTCCCTTTGTAGATTACCTGACCATTTTCTCTTTCTGCCTTTAGCATAATTTCTTACATTTCAACCTTGAAGAATCTGATGATTATCTATCGTAGGAATGATCTTCTTGTAAAGTGTTTACTGGGGTCCTCTGCATTTTCTGAATTTGATTATTGGATTCTCTAGCTGAGTTTGAGAATTTCCCATGGATGATATTCTGAAATATGTTTTCTAAGTTGGTTCCATTCTCCCCTTTGGTTTCAGGGACACCAGTAAGTCATAGATTTGATTTCTTTGTATAATCCCATATTTCTTGGCGGTTTTGTTCATTCCTTTTTATTGTCTTTTTCTCTATTCTCGTCTGCCTTATTTCAGAAAGACAGTCTTCAAACTCTGAGATTCTTTCCTCTGCTTGGTCTATTCTGCTATTGACATTGATTCTTGTGATTGCATTGTGGTATTCTTACAGTTTTTTTTTGGTGCTATTAGGTAGGTTATTTCCTTTTCTATACTGGCTATTTTGTCTGTCAGCTCCTGCATTATTTTATCATAATTTTTAGCTTCCTTGGATTGGGTTTCAATGTACTCCCATAGCACAATGATCTTTGTTCCTATCTATATTCTGAATTCTATTTCTGTCATTTCAGCTCTCTCAGCCTGGTTCAGAACCCTTGCTGGAGAGATGATGCAGTCATTTGGAAGAATTAAGACACTCTGACTTTTGGGGTTGTTAGCATTGTTGCACTGATTCTTTCACATCTTTGTGTGCTTATCTTCCTTTCATGTTAGAGGTTGCTGAACTTTGGGTGGGATTTTTTAAAATTTCATTTCATTACCTTGAGGCTTTGATTACAGTATAAGGTGGACTGAGCAGACTGCATGCATTTCTGGGAGATGTTAGGGGCCCAACGCAATCTCCCAACCCCTGGACTATGTGTTCTAACTCTTGATTATTTTTATTGGACCCTGATATTGTTCCCTTGATCCTTGAGGTTAGAAATATACTGCTCTGGGGTGGCTGAGGTCATCCTGGACTGCTGGTAACTGCATGTTGATAGGTGGTATTAACCAAAGTGTTTTGTAGTGCAGTGACAGTGGATCCTGTTCTCATTTACACATGCTGGAAGCAGCTGTAATGGCAGATGCCTCAGAGAGCTAGTGGGTGCTGGGGTGCCTGCCTTCCTGTGAGTGTTCACCACAGTGGCAGAGGCAATGCAGCTGGGTGGGGTGGGAGTTCCCTGCTTTGGACTGAGTGCATGGTTGTGCTGGAAGTGGTGTTGGCCTGGGGGCAGGATGTTGGCAGGTGCAGGTCTAAGTGGCTTATTTGTGCCGTATAAGCAGGAGTGGTTGTTCAGGGGTGGGGAGGATTTGCTGTTAGTGCCAGGGTCGGGGACTAGTGGGGTGGGGCTGGTTGGCTCTATGCCCACAAAAGTTCTATCTGTACTCCTGCACACTGGCAGGGCACGGATGGCAAACACTGCCTATGCAATTATGCACCAGCAAAGCTATATGGGGAGTTGCCATGGGCAAGGCAGAAGCTGCAGTATGTCAGGAAAGCATGTGGGCTGGTTAGTAGCCATAGAGGTTGCCCTGCTGGAGCTGTTTACCATTCAGGAATGGTCCACCAGTGCAGAAGCCATGGTGTGGACCCCTAGGGCACCTGAGGCTGCCCTGCAAGCAGGCATGGCCATGCTGTGGCTCTGGGAGAGGCCAGCAGACCAAGGGGTGCTCAAGTCAAATTGGTTCAGTCTGATGGGTAACAGTGCCTTGCAGAATTTAGGACTGACAGTTTCCCTATGGCTAAAGTCTCCTAGGGGAGCAAGATGAGCCTAGGGGTATAACCATCCCTAGCCATGCTCTATTACAGACTTTCCTGCACCAAACCTTCTGGGCTCTACATCAGCTAGCTTGCTGCTCCTATCACTTATCCAAGCAGCTCTCCCTCCCAACTTGATTGTCCATGGTGGTGGAGTTGTCTCCTCCTGCTGGGCTTCCACAGGATCATAGTGAGAGTGGCTTTCTCCTTGCCAGTTCACCTCACACATTTCCCCAGTCTTTGGGTGCCAGGAATGAGTCTGGATGCACTGTAACCACTTGTAGGTTCTCAGCTTTCTCCCCATTTAGCCCAGCTGCTTTTTCTTCCCTCGGTCCACTCTTAGTGCCTTCCCTTTGAAGATCTTTTAGGAGCATGACAGTCATTTCAATTCCTTGATGGGAGCTGTGCCACCTGGCTACATCTAGTCCCTAAATATTTCTTTATCACATGTGATGCTATTTCATAGCATTTTACACACAGTAGAACTTTTTTCACAACTGCAATCACAGAGGGCTAAGATGGCCAACTAGATGCAGCCAGGAAGAGCTTCTCCCAGTGAAAGTCATCAGAACATCAAGTAGACCAGCATAATCCAAACAGATCTTTGGAAACAAGGCATTGAGAGTGGATGCAGGGTGGATGCAGAGCCTAGGTTGAAAGAGCTAGCAAGTGGGAAGGCTGCACATAATTGACAGACACCAGGACTTTTTCCTGGCACTGAGAAACTTCTAGGGAAGTAGTGTGTTATATAGGCCTGGAGTGGCCATTCTCATCATAGGCCTCCAGAATCCTAGCTGTGGAGAACCTATGGCCCCCACAGATGTCTGAACTGGAAAAGAGATCTTCCTAGAGAGTTGGCAGAGAAAGAATTACAGAGAATTTGTATGGGAATGGCTGTGGTGGAGCCATTCTGTGAATCCTTACCATAATCCTTTAGGATGCTCTAACCTTTGTTGGCTTAAACCTGAGTTTTCAGAGAACAAAGCTGCAAGCCTGGTCCCAGACTTCCAAGGTTAGAGCACATACACTAGGAGTGTTGAGCTGAGTCTTGGCTCCCTGAAATCATCCATAAATGAAGCCAATCAACTAAACCCAACTTTTACAAAAGTTAAACCCGCAAGGACATAAAATAATATTAATATAATAGCAAAAACCTCTATCCAAAAGACAGCAACTTCAAAAATTTAACGTCAGCCAACACAGATGTGAAAGAACCAGTGCAAGAACTCTGGTAACTAAAAGCCAGAGTGTCTTCCCACCTCCAAATGACCACACTAGCTCCTCAGCAATGGACCTTACCAGTATGAAATTGCTGGGGTGACAGACCTAGAATTCAGGATCTGGATGAAAAGAAATTTCATAGACATACAGGAGAAGGTTGAAACTAAATCCAAGGAATACGGTAAATTTGTCCAAGAGTTGAAAGATTATATAGCCTTCTTAAGAAAGAACCAAAATGAATTTCTGAAAAAAAAAAAAAATCACTGCAGGAAATTTAGAATATGATTAGAAGCATTAATAATAGAAATGACCAATCTCAGGAAATAATCTCAGAGCATGGAAATCACTCCCTCAACTCAACAAAGTGAGAGAAAACTTACAAAAATTAAAAAATGAACAAAACTTCCGAGAAATATGTTATTATGTAAACGGACCAAAGGTACAAATCACTGGCATTCCTGAAAGAGATGGAGAGAGAGCAAGCAAATTGGGAAATATATTTGAGGATATTATAAAAAATTTGCTCGGCTTCACTAGAGAGGTTGAGATGCAAATATAGAAAATTCAGAGAACTGCTGAGAGACACTATGAAAGAGGACAATCCCCAAGACACATTGCCATCAAATTCTCTAAGTCAACATAAAAGAAAAAATCTCAAAGATAGCTAGAGAGAAGGGACATCAATACAAAGGCAACCCTATCAGGCTGACAGCAGAACTTTCAGTAGAAATCCTAAAAGCCAGAAGAAGAGATGGAGGGCTTAAACTCAGCATCCTTAAGGAAAACAAATCCAATCATGAATTTCATATCCAGCCAAAGGAAGCTTCATAAGAGAAGAAATAAAATTCTTTTCAGACAAGCAAATGCTAAGAGCATTCATTGCCACCAGTCCTGCTTTACAAGAGGCTCTAAAGGGAGAGCTAAACATGGAAATGAAATACTGCTACCAGCCACTACAAAAACACATTTAAGTACATAGCCCACTGACACTATAAAGCAACTATACAATCAAGTCTACATAACAACCAGCTAATAACATGATGGCAGGATCAAATTGTCACATATCAATATTAACCATGTATGTAAATGGGCTCAATGGCCCACTTAAAAGACGGTGAGTGGCAAGTTGGAAAAAAAAGCAAGACACGATTGTATGCTGTCTTTCAGGGACCAATCTCACATGAAATTGCATCCATAGGCTCAAAGTGAAGGGATGGAGAATGATTTACCAAGCAAGTCGAAAACAAAACAAAAAAAGAGCAGAGGTTGCTATTCTTAATTTAGACAAAACAGACTTTAAACTAACAATGATTAAAAGGGACAAGAAAGAAAATTACATAAAGGGTGCAATTAAACAAGACGACTTAACTATCCTAAATATATGTGCACCCAACACTGGAGCACCAAGATTAATAAAACAAGTTCTTAGAGATGTACAAAGGGACTTAACTAACCACACAATAATAGTGGGAGACTTCAATACCCCACTGACAATATTAGACAGATCATCAAGGCAGGAAACTAGCAAAAATATTCAGGAACTTAACTTGATACTTGACCAAATGGACCTAAAAGACATCCACACGATACTCCATGTAACAACAACAGAATAAAATACATTTTTCTCATCTGCACATAGTACATATTCTAAGATCATGTTCAACCATAAAGCAATCTTTAAAAAATGCAACCCCCAAAATAATACCAACCACACTACCATCTCAGAGCACAGTGCAACAAAAATAGAAATAGATACCAATAACATCTCCCCAAACCATAAAATTACATGGAAAGTAAACAACCTGCTTCCAAATGACATTTGGGTAAACAATGAAATTAAGGAGAAAATGAAAAAAAAATTCTTTGCAACTAATGAAATAAAGATACAATATAGCAGAATCTCTGGGACACAGGTGTTAAGAGAAAAGTTTATAGTGCTAAACACCTACATCAAGGAGTTGGAAATATCTCAAGTTAACAACTTAACATCACAACTAGAAGATCAAGGAAAAAAAGAGAAAATTAACTGATATGGTTTGGTTGTGTCCCCACCTGAATCTCAACTTGAATTTTATCTCCTAGAATTCCCACATGTTGTGGGAGGGACCCAGGTGTAGGCAATTGAATCACTGGGGCTGGTCATTCCCATGCTATTCTCGTGATAGTGAATAAATCTCACGAGGTCTGATGGGTTTATCAGGGGTTTCTGCTTTTGCTTCTTTCTCATTTTCTCTTGCTGCTGCCATGTAAGAAGTGCCTTTCACCTCCCACCGTGATTCTGAAGCCTCTCCAGCCATGTGGAACTGTAAGTCCAATTAAACCTCTTTTTCTTCCCAGTCTCAGGTATGTCTTCATCAGCATTATGCAAACAGACTAATATAGTAAATTGGTACCAGTGGAGTGAGGCGCTGCTGAAAAGATACCTGAAAATGTGGAAGCTACTTTGGAACTGGGTAACAGGCACAGGATGGAACAGTTTGGAGGGTTCAGAAGAAGACAGGAAAATATGGGAGAGTTTGGAACTTCCTAGAGACTTGTTGAATGGCTTTGACAAAAATGCTGATAGTGATATGAACAATAAGGCTCAGGTTGAGGTGGTCTCAGATGGACATGAGGAACTTGTTGGGAACTGGAGCAAAGGTGAGTCTCATGTTTTTGCAAAGAGACTGGCAGCATTTTGCCCCTGCCCTAGAGATTTGTGGAACTTTGAACTTGAGAGGGATGATTTAGGGTATCTGGTGGAAGAAATTTCTAAGCAGCAAAGCATTCTAAAGGTGACTTGGTTGCTGTTAAAAGCATTCCATTTTAAAAGGGAAACAGAGCATAAAAGTTCAGAAAATTTGCAGCCTGAAGATGCAGTAGAAAAGAAAAATCAATTTTTTTGAGGAGAAATTCAAGCTGGCTGAAGAAATTTGCATAAGTGGCAAGGAGACTAAAGTTAATCCCCAAGACTGTGGGGAAAATGTCCCCAAGCCATGTCAGAGACCTTCACGGCAGCCCTCCCCTCACAAGCCCAGAGGCCCAGGAGAAAAAAGTGATTTTGTGGGCCAAGCCCAGGGTGCCCGTGCAATTTGCAGCCTAGAGACTTGGTGCCCTGCATCCCAGCTGCTCCAGCCATGGCTGAAAATGGACAACCTAGAGCTCAGGCTGTGGCTTCAGAGGGTGGATGCCCCTAGCCTTGGCAGCTTCCATGTGGTGTTGAGCCTGCAGTTGTACAGAAGTCAAGAACTGAAGTTTGGGAACCTCCACCTAGATTTCAGAAGATATATGGAAACGCCTGGATGCCCAGGCAAAAGTTTGCTGCAGGCACAGGGCTCTCATAGAGAACCTCTGCTAGGGCAGTTTGAAAGGGAAATGTGGGATCAGAGCCACCAAACAGAGTCTCTACTGGGGCACTGCCTAGTGGATTTGTGAGAAGAGGGCCACCGTCCTCCAGACACCAGAATGGTGGATGCTCCGACAGCTAGTGCTGTGTGCCTGGAAAAGCTGCAGAGTCTCAAAGCCAGGCCATGAAAGCAGCCAGGAGGGAGGCTGTATCCTACAAAGACACAGGGGCAGAGCTGCCCAAGAACATGGGAACCCACCTCTTGCATCAGCATGACTTGGATGTGGGAACTGTAGTCAAAGGAGATCATTTTGGAGCTTTAAAATTTGACTGCCTTGCTGGATTTTGGACTTGCATAGACCCCATAACCCCTTTGTTTTGGCCAATTTCTCCCTTTTGGAATGCCTGTATTTACCCCATACCTGTACCCCCATTGTATCTAGGAAGTAACTAGCTTGCTTTTGATTTACAGGCTTATAGGCGGAAGAGACTTGCTTTGTCTCAAATGAGACTTTGGATTATGGACTTTTGGGTTTAGGCTGAAATGAGTTAACACTTTGGGTACTATTGGGGAGAAATGATTAGTTTTGAAATGTAAAAACATGAGGCTTGGAGGGGCCGGGGTGGAATAATATGGTTTGGCTGTGTTCCCACCCAAATCTCAACTTGAATTTTATCTCCTAGAATTCCCACATGTTGTGGGAGGGACCCAGAGGGAGGTAATTGAATAATGGGGCCAGTTTTCCCCATGCTACTCTTGTGGTAGTGAATAAGTCTCATGAGATCTGATGGGTTTATCAGGGATTTCTGCTTTTGCTTCTTTCTCATTTTCACTTGCCACCGCCATGTAAAAAGTGCCTTTCATCTCCTGCCATGATTCTGAGGCCTCTCCAGCCATGTGGAACTGTAAGTCCAATTAAACCTATTTTTCTTTCCTGTCTCAGGTATGTCTTTATCAGCAGCATGAAAACAGAGTAATACACTAACATAAAAGATAGCGGAAGAAAAAAAATAAGCAAAACCAGAGCTGTGCTAAACAAAATTCAGACAGGAAAACAGATACAAAATGTCAACAAAAGCAAAAGTTTGTTATTTGAAACAATAAATAAGAATTATACACAGCTAGCTAAATTAATAAAGAATAAGATAGAAGATCCAAATAAATGCAGTCAGAAACCACAAAGGTGATGTTATCATGAACCTCAAAGAAATACAAAAAACCTCTCAGAGACTATTATGAACACCTCTGTGCATGCAAAATAGAAAATCTGAGAGAAATTGATAAATTCCTGGAAACATACAACCTCCCAAGTTTGAACCAGAAAGAAATTAAAATCCTGAACATATCAATAAGGAGTCCTGAAATTGAATAAATAATACAATCTTACAAAATCGGAAAAGCTCTGGAACAGATAAATCCACAACAAAATACAACCAGATGTATAAAGAATAACTGATACAAATCGTATTGAAACTTTTTCAAAAAATCAAGGAGAATGGAATCCTTCCTAACTCATTCTTTTTTTTTACTTTCTAACTACTTTTTATTTTATTTATTTATTTATTTATTTTTTTCTTTTATTATTATACTTTAAGTTTTAGGGTACATGTGCACATTGTGCAGGTTAGTTACATATGTATACATGTGCCACGCTGGTGCGCTGCACCCACTAACTCGTCATCTAGCATTAGGTATATCTCCCAATGCTATCCCTCCCCCCTCCCCCCACACCACAACAGTCCCCAGAGTGTGATGTTCCCCTTCCTGTGTCCATGTGATCTCATTGTTCAATTCCCACCTATGAGTGAGAATATGTGGTGTTTGATTTTTTGTACTTGTGATAGTTTACTGAGAATGATGATTTCCAATTTCATCCATGTCCCTACAAAGGACATGAACTCAACATTTTTTATGGCTGCATAGTATTCCATGGTGTATATGTGCCACATTTTCTTAATCCAGTCTATCATTGTTGGACATTTGGGTTGGTTCCAAGTCTCTGCTATTGTGAATAATGCCGCAATAAACATACATGTGCATGTGTCTTTATAGCAGCATGATTTATAGTCCTTTGGGTATATACCCAGTAATGGGATGGCTGGGTCAAATGGTATTTCTAGTTCTAGATCCCTGAGGAATCGCCACACTGACTTCCACAATGGTTGAACTAGTTTACAGTCCCACCAACAGTGTAAAAGTGTTCCTATTTCTCCACATCCTCTCCAGCACCTGTTGTTTCCTGACTTTTTAATGATTGCCATTCTAACTGGTGTGAGATGATATCTCATTGTGGTTTTGATTTGCATTTCTCTGATGGGCAGTGATGATGAGCATTTTTTCATGTGTTTTTTGGCTGCATAAATGTCTTCTTTTGAGAAGTGTCTGTCCATGTCCTTTGCCCACTTTTTGATGGGGTTGTTCGTTTTTTTCTTGTAAATTTGTTTGAGTTCATTGTAGATTCTAGATATTAGCCCTTTGTCAGATGAGTAGGTTGCAAAAATTTTCTCCCATTTTGTAAGTTGCCTGTTCGCTCTGATGGTAGTTTCTTTTGCTGTACAGAAGCTCTTTAGTTTAATTAGATCCCATTTGTCAATTTTGTCTTTTGTTGCCATTGCTTTTGGTGATTTAGACATGAAGTCCTTGCCCATGCCTATTTCCTGAATGGTATTGCCTAGGTTTTCTTCTAGGGTTTTTATGGTTTTGGGTCTAACGTTTAAGTCTTTAATCCATCTTGAATTGATTTTTGTATAAGGTGTAAGGAAGGGATCCAGTTTCAGCTTTCTCCATATGGCTAGCCAGTTTTCCCAGCACCATTTATTAAATAGGGAATCCTTTCCCCATTGCTTGTTTTTCTCAGGTTTGTCAAAGATCAGATAGTTGTAGCCAACATCACAGCAATACAAAAGCCTGGCAAAGACACAACAAATAAATAAAGCTATTGGTCAACATCCCTGATGAATTTAGGCA